>NC_000007.14:153246258-153397773 GCF_000001405.40 Homo sapiens | reverse complement strand
AAGCTGGCAAGAGTCAAGACAGGTAGGACCCTATAAAGGTTAGGAAGAAAACCACTGCTTCCTCACACACAGCATGTCCCCAAGCCAGCCAGCCCTGCCTCCCTTCTAGAACCTGCCCCCGAGCTTCCCTGGAGAAGCCCTTCGCCAAGTCTTCCCATCAGTGAGTTTCAATCATCACTGAGGTCTTGGTTCAAAAGTCACACCCTCAGGAAGTCCTTTCTGAGCTCTCCTAAGTAACGAACCTGATTCCCCTCCACATTGCATCTCCATCTTGCAATTTCTTCAGAGCACTCACCGTGTCTTAAATTATCTAGTTTGTTTATCTTATTTATTTTGAAGCTCCCCTCTAAAAATAAGTTTAGTGAGGGCAGAGAACCCCCAGTTCATGTCCACATTCCTGGTCTGGCCCATAATGGGCACTGAACAAATATTTCTTGTAGAGGGTGTGGATTTTGGCAGCAGAATGTGCCATGCACTCAGGCTCTGCTGTGCGTCCTCAATCCTGGCCTTTAATAGTGCCTCTGTTTCTCCTGGTCTCAACCCTTGCACTCTCTGAGAGGAGATTGGCCACTTCAGTTTTCTGTCTTGAAGATTATGATACTACACAGAGGCAGGCTAAGTACTAGGAGACCCAGGATCTGCTTTCAGTTTTTCTATATCTCATTCTAACTGTTACCAGTGGCAAATCTGTATGGGTCTGCAGCAACTCAGTTCTTGCCTCCTCAGAAGAAAGAATTCAACCAAGGGGCATAAGGCAGAGTGAGAGACCAAGGCAAGTTTTAGAGCAGGAAAGTTTATTAAAAAGTTTTAGAGCAGGAACAAAAGAAAGTAAGGTACACTTAGAAGAGAGCCAAGCAGGTGACTTGAGAGATTCAAGTGTGCTGTTTGATCTTTAACTTGAAGTTTTATGTATTGAGATGCTTCTGGGGTTGTGTTACTTCTCCCCGTTACTTCTTTTGGGGTAGGCTGTCTGCATGCTCAGTGGCCTGCCAGCACTTGGGAGGGGCTGCAAGCACAGTGTGTTTGCTGAAGTTGTACACAGGCTTAGTTGAGGCATTTTTCTCATACCAGTCAGGCGTTCCTAGAAGAAGGTCATTTACCTGTTAACACTGCCATTCAGCTCTTAGTGTGCATGCTTGAGCCCACTCACCCAACTCCTGAGATCTTATTGGGAAGCTGCTGGTCATCAACTTCAGTTGTTTTTCATCTATTGGGAGATACTGTTCCCTGGCACCAGCTGCAGCCAATTATTATTTTAGCAAGACAGATAACAACCACCTGACCATAACCTGATAGTCACCTGACATTCCTGGGTTGGGCAGGGACCTCTCCTGCCCTGCTCATGTCTGCCTAACTACCTACTCTAACATTTCCCCCCTCAAGAGTTCAAGACCCAATTTGTTGGGAAAGGTCAGTCTTTTGTAACTGCTTCCTGCTGACAGAGAGGTGGTGGTGGTTGTTCTGTGGGTCTTATTCTCTTGCTAGCTGTTAGGGCATGGTTGCTTCGTGGGTTAGTGAAAGCAGTATCCAGCCAGGTCCGAGAGAGACAGGGGCAGGATTTTGCCTCTGTCGTGTCCCACAGATGGGCAGTTGAGGGGTCCTCTGTAGAAGTGTGACTCAAATATTGAGAGGATATTATCCCTCACTGAGGATCATCTGGTGATTGATGGCCCATCCCTCTTGTTTCTTCTGAGCCTCAGCCATGGATCACTGGTTGGTTCACAGGAATAAGCAGAGTCAGTCTAACTTGCAGAGGAAAAAAACTCAAAAACAACTGATGAGACTAGAATCAAATTACAGGTGTACCACAATTCTCAAGACATAATTTTTCTCTTTGCAGTCCTCATTCTTATTAAAAACAAATTATCACAGGACTGATTTGTTTCCAAAATAAACTTCAGTCATGTTATACTTGGCCTGTTATTTGCATAAAGCACAGCAAGAATAATTATTTGTTACATAGGTTCCTTTTTAAATTGGCTTTGATGGAACTTTGTTCCATAAGGAATCTTGGATAAAACTTTTAAAAGTCTTGAGCCCAGGCATGGGATTGTGCCACCAAATAACTGTATGAGTTGGATGAATTCCTCCCTCTTGAGGTCCCAAGACAACTTGGGGCCCCTGGGCCTGTCAGAACGTGACATTCTTTACTTACCACAGGTGAGAAAGCCTGCACAGGGATTGTGTAGACAAGATGTGGGTCCACTTTTCCCAAGGGGATTTTATTGGCTCTCTAAGTTAACATTGATTTCTTAAAGGAGTCTGTTTGTATCCGAAAGCATGTCATTCATTCAAAGCCTTGGGGAAAATAACCAGTGTCTCCAATTTTGTCCTGTTACAAAAGAAAACAGCATGTTAAAGCTATGTGTATCAGTTTATATGTTTAGTTGTGAGAAGGCCAATATTCATATCACCTAGCTTTACAAGAAATGCAGGCCTGAAGATGAAAAGCAACACAATTGCTTACAGTTTCTCAGATCACAAAGCCTTTTAATCTTACAAAATATAAATCAATAGATGAGAAAGAAAAAAACAGATTATTGCACTTATTCAAATAACTATACTGATGTAAGTTATGAGCACTCACAAATAAGTTCCAAATATTGGAGAAATCCAGGAGAGATAAATGTGCTCCTAATTTTGTTTATAGTACACTTTATTCAATTGTTAAAAGCTGAAAAGTTTTCTTGGCTTGGAAAAACAAACAAAGGATTAGCAACATTTTAAGCAAAAAGTCATAAAAGTATTATTTTAGTCTTAGTTCAGTCCATGCAATTAATTCCTCTTCTCCTTGATATTCATCAATATTTTAGCTCTCTGTGAGAGTCCTGAAAAGTTTTCCTCTATTATAATGTCACAATCTCCAAAGTTATCAGAAACCTGCATTTAAGAGCACCTATTAGAGTCCTATAGCTGATTATAAAACTACATTTTAAAGGGCATTGAAACAAAATAACAATTGTGGATGACTAAATGTCTTTGGACAGCCACAGTTGAAGACACAATTGACAAGGAAATTTGTTACCTCTGTGGCACACAATAATTTAACATGACAATTATAATTATTACTGTATAGTAAGTCAAACTAGAATTATAGGAGTTTTGCATAATTTTGAAACACACTGCAATAACACATTTATGCAAATACAGTCCAAGTAAAGCCAAATTTTACCTTTGCCTTAGTGTACTATTGATGTCAAATGCAATTCTTAATAAAACCTTATAGAAAAATTTATCTAATGTTAATCAGTTTGACCATAAGGTAAGATTTTCATTAACCTTTTATAACCCTTTACAATTTTCTGTTAAAAAACAGTGCTTTAAGTGCTTTAAGAAAACTGTGCTTTGCTTTTATTTTATTAAACTGAATAATACGCCTTTAATTGTAGCCAATATATGCCTATACAGAATTTCTTTTACAAGATTAATCTTTCACAAACCTTCCAGAACTTGCTTAAACCTTCAGTTTTATGCTTTCTAACTTCAAACAATCCTTTAACCCTCTACACTAGGCCAAAAATCCACATTCCCATGCCTTCATATAATATTTTACCAAAAGCACATTTTACTTTCCTTACACATCCTGCATGTAAAACTGTTTTTCCAGTAGTCTCAAGTACATGTTACACTGTTGTCTCTTAACTACTTTTACTTTTGGTGAAAAACCTCATAAGTAAGCCATTCTAATTATGTATTAGCTTTGGAGCCTAGAACACGAGATAGAAGTGAAGATCAGGTTTGACTCTTTCCAGCATAGCTAGGGTACACGGCTAACTCTGTATGTCCCCAGGCCTTACTCAGAATTTAACAGCTTTAAAGCAGGCAAGTTGTACAGTTAAGAGTTATGGTAGCAGTTTATGAAGCATTTAATAGGTTTAATAACCTTTAAAATTGTGTAACATTTCTTTTATTAATTCCCTTTCACGAACCTTTTCACAACTTACACAGAGCATCTATGACATGCTTCAACTTTCTGACTTGTCCTAAATATCCCTCTTTTAAACAATCAGTAATTTTACTTTAGCACAAGAATTTACCAAACAAGATCCTTTCTCATATAAAATATCTTTTCTTTATAACTTTTCTTACCAAAAACATCTATTTACCTTAAAAATGTTTGAATTAAACAAAAGTCATTTTCCTTCCATTAGGAAGTTAAGGTTTGTACTGCATGTTGCTGTGCAAGCCCTGTGAAGGGGGAGCAGATGAGGAGGTTATCTATATGCTGTAGAAGACAGCCCCCAACAAAAGATTGCTTGGCTAGACTTTTGCTAGGGCTTATCTGAATAAGTATGGGCTATTTCTAAACCCCTGAGGTAGGACTTCCTAGGTTAAAGTTATTGGTTAAAGATTTAGGTAACTTTCCCAGGAGAAATAGAGCTATTAGAGAGAAAATGATCAGAGGTTGGGTAAATGTTACACAGGCATCCATCTTGGAAAGTATATTTTTGCCCCAAAGAGATGTAGGGTATTTCAACATTACCAGAGACTGGTAGGAGAATGGAATTTGATCCCTTGAGTAATATAAAGGAGTGTTAATCTTTTCTTTTGGAGGGAGGGGGTGCCATTTGCCCCAATTACCCAACAGTATTTGAAGGAGAGTTGCTAAGAGAAGGAGATTAGCACAGAGTAGGGAGATTTTGAACCCCAAAGGGAAATTTATAATTTTATTTGCTGCCTCCAAAGTTGCCCTTGGCCTTGTCTTGTAGATTACAATGTCTGATTTGGAAGCCAGCTGGAGCACAAAGCCCTTTCAGCTCAGAGCCATCAGGGTTTGGGATTCTGTCCTGGGGGCCCTTTGAATCTCAGGGCAGTCCCATTTCCAGTGGCCAACCTTGTGGCAGAGGGGGAAAGCTGTGTGGGGCTTTTTCCCATTTATCCCATTAGTGCAATTTGCAATTCAGTGGCCTGGATTCCTGCACTGATGGTAGTTACTTGGAGGAGAGTCCTTAGAGCAACCTGGAAGGGACTGAAGAGCTTATAAAGCAGCCAATAGTTGAGACTGCCTCTGGTCCCCATGTTTCTCTTTTCTCCCTAGCCCTGTTCTTCTTGTCCCCATATGGTTTATAAATGACTAAGGAGGCTAATTTGAGGATTTCCTGCACAGGGACACTGGCTTCTGAAGCTGACTCTTATAGTTTTCTCCCAGTTCATTTTTAGGCCAAACAGTATTACAAGGGAAAAATAGTTTTTTGTTTGTTTTAAGGTTTGGGGGATCAAACTTTTCCCCAGATTTCTTGGGGATGCATCCAAAGGGCATATCCTGTGGTTTATGGACACAATTACCCATCTGCAAAGAGAGGACAGAGGAGAAAAAAATAAGAAAAAAGAAGGCATCCCTTCTTATTGCTCTATTATCCTTTCCTGGACAGGGCATCCACCATTCATCCTTAGGGTTCCAGAATGAACCAGTCTTACTATGTAACCTTAACCTTGGCCTCATCTCATCAAAATTACCCACTTGAGAACAGAGGAGATACCAGAGTCAACAGGGGCACCCCATTCATCCTTGAGGTACTGGAATGAACTGGTCTAACCATGTACCCCAACCTTCCTCTCTGTTCTAATGGTAATCTGTTAGCCTAGGACCAGCCTTCATCTTTGTCCTATGGTTCTCTTGTGCCTGTGGCCATGGGCTGGCCTATATCTTTGTCTCCATGACCTTATAGTGACTCTCACTCAGAGCAGTCTAGCAACAAAATGATGATTCTCATTTCCCATGTTCCTTAAGTACACAAGAACCCTGTTTTTTGGCCAGCTACTGCTGGACTTCCCTCCCTTCTAATATTGCCTTGAAGGCCTTGATGTGTATTGAGGGCATGGAAGTGATTAGAGGAATAGAGGAAAATTTGTATTTAGGCTTCCTCATCCTCCAGGGGTAACATACAGAACACATGCTTAAGCAGACAGGACAATCCCTCTGCTACAGGAGGAAGTGGGAAGAAGTGTGAGGAATACTCATGGAAAGCCTTCATGTGCTCGCAAAAGCAGCAGCCCTTGGATTTGAGAGGGCAATGTTTATTTGCCCTCTTGACATAAAGGAAGAACATCTGGAGGAGATGGGGCCTGCGATAAGGGATCACAAATGGCAAAGGAAGAATTTTCCCTCTTCCCAAAGGGATGCTAACTCAAAAAAATCAAGTAGGGATCCTTAAAGGGCCACAGAATGAGGACAAATGCAGGTGGACAAACTGTTTCAAAAGCTAGGCCCAGCAGTGTAACACAGATGACAAGCAAAGTGTATGATAAGTCATAAGGAGTTGGCAGAGCTGGGGTTCCAATTAGAGTCTGTCCCAGCAGTGAGCCAACAGACATCCACTAGGGAGCCCATTTTTTTTGCTGCTATGCAAACATAGCAAGAGCCATGGATGCGTGAATAACAGGGAGTGTGTTTAGGGCAAAGAAGGAAGTCACACAGCATGTGAATTGAAAGCAGAGAAAAGGCAGACTTGCCTCCTGCAAGCAAATGGTCCCATGGATGCACAAGGCCATTTCAGAACACACACAGAGAAAACAGGAGAGTAGATGGTGCAGGGTCTTGGAAAAGAGCTGATTTTAGTTGAAAGGGCAGAGGAAACCCCAGACATTGCATGTCTTAAGCTTTAACCCTACCACTCTCGTGAGTCTCCTGTCCAGGAGGGCCATTAGTGTCTCAGGTCTACTCAGTGCAGACTCCAAGGTCCTTCCCCACCCAGTAGGCCACCCATCAGAGTGAGCTGAGAGATCAGTCAGGGGGAGCAGAACCACTGTGGCCAAGAGGAATCATTTTGGGGGTTGGTTAGTAAGCAGGAGAGTGAAAGGGGAGAGGGAACCCACGAAAGGGGGTTGAATGCATCCATCCAAAGCAGGTGAGGTATGGAGATGTCTTCCCAATAGGGAATGCATCTGAGTCATGGCATCAAAGTATGTTAGCAATGGTGAATCCATACAGGTCTGCAGCAACTCAGTTCTTACCTCCTCAGAAGAAAGAATTTGACCAGGGGACATAAGGCAGAGTGAGAGACCAAGGAAAGTTATAGAGCAGAAGTGCAAGTTTATTAAAAAGTTTTAGAGCAGGAAAGAAAGAAAGTAAAGTATACTTGGAAGAGGGCCAAGCGGGTGACTTGAGAGATTCAAGTGTGCTGTTTGACCTTTGACTTGGGGTTTTATACATTGACATGTGTATTAGTCCATTCTCACACTGCTATAAAGAACTGCCCAACATTGGGTAATTTATAAGGAAAAGAGGTTTAATTGACTCACCATTCCACATAGCTGAGGAGGCCTCAGGAAACTTACAATCAAGGTGGAAATTGAAGAGGCATGTCTTACATGGTGGCAGGCAAGAGAGAGTGAGTGTATGAAGGAGGAACTGTCAAACACTTATAAAACCATCAGCTCTCATGAGAACTACTCACAATCACCAGAACAGCATGGGGGACTCTACTCCCATGATCCAATCACCTCCTACCAGGTCTCTCCTTGAAATGTGGAGATTATGGGGATTACAATTCAAGATGAGATTTGGGTGGGGACACAAAGCCTAACCATATCAACATCTTTTCTCCCCTGATTCTTCCACTGGGGTGGGCTCTCCACATGCACAGTGGCCTGCCAGCACTTTGGAGGGGCTGCATGCACAGTGTGTTTACCGAAGTTGTGCACATGCTCACTAGAGGTGTTCTTCCCTTACCAGTCAAGTGTTCCTAGATAAAGGTAATACACCATCAAACTCCATCATTTTGCCTCTTAGTGCACATGCTTGAGCCCATCCACCCAACTCCTGAGATCTTATTGGGAAGCTGTTGATCATCAGCTTCAGGTGTTTTCTATCTATTGTGAGGCTGCCTTTCCCTGACACTGGCTGAGACCAATTATTATTTTAGAGAGACAATTTAACAACCACCTGACCCATCACCTGATGTTCGCCTGACATTCCTGGGTTGGAGGGGGGCCCTCTTCTGCCCTGCTTATGCCTGCCTACCTACCTACTCTAACATAACCATGTAACAATTCTGCCTCTGTTTCCACATTTGTAAAACAAAACAAAAAAATACCACCTACCTTGTGAGAGTAAGGGTCAAAAAACTCCTTAAAGGGTCAGAAAACTGGAAGCCCCTGATGTTTTACATGAAGATGCACAGAGAAGCAACCCCCACCAGGCATGCTGGTGCCTTTCCTTCTCCAGGCACTTCTCATTCAAGCCACAGAGGGCATCTCTATTTTTAGTCCTGTCTCCTAAGGGATCACGATGAAGTTATTTTTTATCTCAGCAAGTTGGCTCAATCTTACAGTCCCATGCATGGTGCCATTGATGGAAGCCTTGTGGGAAGTGGATGTACGCTCCCTGACTCATTCCCTCCCTGTCTTTGGCTCATCTTTCACTAACAAGTTCAGGCAGAGTCCTTGGACATCATTCAGAGAGAACCAGAGCTAGCATATAACACTGATCCTAGTCGTGTGTGATTTCATTAAAGAAATGTACCACTTGGTCTCTTCATGGCTAACTCCCCAGCTTGTATAAATTGCATAGTCACATGCCATTCAGAGAGCCATTCTGAATGCATATTTGTTACAGGAAGAACTTGGGATGGTAACATCCCCTGCAAACTGGGAAGGAGCCAAGAGACCAAAGAATGACTCCATCAAGTCCAGCTTGATAAGTAAATGAGTTTATTGGGACCTACATCCAGGGCTCTCCTGGGTGGCAGCAAGACAGCTCTAGAGATCCCCACTGCCTGCTGTCTTTAAGTTGCTTTTAAGCTAATTTTCTGGCTCTTTGCCGTGTGTGTGTGTGTGTGTGATAGGACTATTTTTCTTGGTATATTACCAGGTACACTTCAGTATGTTTGAGTTCTCAGGAATGAACACCTGCTCCTTGTCTGGGTACCATGGCCTTGGCTCACCACCTGGCCTTCAGGGTCCAAGCCATGGACATATGGACAAATGCCCTTAAGCAGCCTGGTGGGGACCTGTCACACTACAACATTGGTGCTGCTGCTGCTCCTGGTGGAGGGTGGGTTGGTGTGGGGACAGGAGGTGCAAAGTGACAAAGCCTCATGCCTACCCATGCCAAGAGGCCCTATCTGTCTCCAACCAAGTGCCCAGGACCTCCCAGATAAGGAACATAGCTTCTTTAAAAGGGCAGAAACTTGTCAGTTAGTCATATTTATTTTCAAATTCTAGTTCTAACACTTGATAGCCATGTGATATTGGGCAAGTTACTTATGAGCATCAGTTTTCTCCTTTGTAAAATAGAACTCTCATAGTTCACATGGTACCTGATATGGTCTGGCTGTGTCGCCACCCAAATCTCACCTTGAATTGTAGTTCCCATAATCCCCACGTGTTGTGGGAGGGACCCAGTGGGAGGTAATTGAATCCTGAGGGTGGTTACCCCCATGCTGCTGATCTCCTGACAGTGAGTGAGCTCTCATGAGGAACTTTTCCCACTTTTGCTCACCACTTCTCCTTGCTGCCTCTATGTGAAGAAGGACGTGTTTGCTTCCCCTTCTGCCATGACTGTTAGTTTCCTGAAGCCTCCTCAGCCATGCTGAACTGTGAAAATAAGAAAACCTCTTTCCTTTATAAATTACCTAGGCTTGGGTATGTCTTTAATAGCAGCGTGAGAACAAACTAATACAGTACCATTATCAAAGTTTGCATTTACATCAACTTTTCTAGAATAATTTCTGGAACAAAGCCTATGTTCACCAATTTCCTACCATCCTCTGTTGTCTAGGGACTAAAACTTTAATGTCATCAGCACCCCCACTGGGCTTCCCCACAGGTCCCAGGAATCAAGCCTGGATGGCTCCCTTTTTCTGCTGCCCCCTTCATTCCCACAAGACATGCAGGTGACTCAAGCTAATAGGACAACCGTCATGCCATTCTCCATGAGCATATGCATTTTATCACAATGTTTTTCCAAACATCCTCCCATCCTCTTGCATTCTCTCCTCATCCTTCTCATCTCTCCTTCTCTCAAATGATCCTCCATGCTCCCATTTCTCAGGCTTACAAACTCAGAGTCAACTGTAAATCTCTCCCATCTCTTCACTCAGTGCTCAGGCCCTGTCACCAATAGCATCTTCCCTTATGTCACCCATTTTTCTATTTCCAGTGCCACCATAATCCCAGGAAAATCCCTGGCCAAGGGCCCACTTAGGGAAGGCTGGTGAAGCCAAGTGGGGGCACTGGGCTCAAGTCTTTCCATTCCTGGGGGCCCCATAGGACAGGTGCCCCACTTGGGGGTGAAAGTGTGTGGAAGGGTGAGGATTTGTAGAAGAGAAGCAATAAAGGAACCTGAAAACAAGCAAGGAAGGGAAGGGAGAAATGAGATAAACAGAGGAGGCCAGAAGACAAAGAGATTGCAATGAAATCATTTTTGAGCCTTCAAATGTTCTTCCTAAAATCTATTCCAACCCTCAAGCAAATAGATGCATGAGAATTTAATGTTGAAACTCAAGCAGGAGCATGTGCTGAAAGGCAGAATGGGTCTAACTTAGTGGAATCATCATTTACATTTTTAGGAGTAATCCAAACTCTACAATTTAAAAGACAAAGAATTAAAATAAGGTCAAAATTTATCTTTTCTAAATTGTAGATTTTGTATGGTAAATACCTAAATTGTACCTTGATGCTTTTGCTTCCACATAAAAGGTGAAAATCGTTTCCTTCAGATCATTTTTTTCTTAATAGCAGCTTTCACACTGACAGAAAGAGGACATTTCTTACCCCATTCAGTAAGAAAGGAAGAGTAAATGGCATTCTCAAAGAAGGCGGAAATAGAACCTTTGGAAAATTGCCTTAATAGCAGGCTATGAGTTTGGGCGATGAAGAGGGGTGACCTCAGCCTCCCCGACCTGCCGGTCTGCTGCCCCCACCCTCCCACCCAGCTCCAATTTCACAAAACGACTCATGTTCCCCAAATACCCTGCACTCTACCTGCCTTTTCTCCAGTTGCACGAGGGCTGAGATCGTCACAAGTAAAAGACACCTGCTGCTTGTCACCCTCGTCCTAGGCATCCTGCAAGGACGTTCACAATGCCAGCTGCTCAGTGACGTCTTCCCCGAGGTGGAATTTTGTTGCTCCCCACCCCCGACTCCTTCCCCAATTGCCCTTTCTACTGTTACAGGTGTGTGTCTTTCTCCTTGGCTGACTCTGAAGCTGAGATGCCTGTGGGTCAAAGAGATCCTTTGAGAAGGATTTCTAACCTGAAATCAAAAAACTAAGAGTGATTTTATAGAAGTGACACCTGTGAAGCTGGAAGAACAATAGGGTTCATGGAGGTGATAATTTAAGATGATTAAGGAAAACATGGTATCTGAATTGTATCTTCATGTTTTTTCCTTTAAACTGTGGGTTTTTCTCAAAATAGTAATGTTTTATATCAACATTTTATTTAAATAGATTATAATAGCTGTAAATCTATTTAGATTTACAATAGATTTACAATATCAGTCAGGACCCAGCTGGAAAAAGAGGTCTGTTCAAGTGGAATTCTGGAGAGAATTTCCAATAGGGGATAGGCACAAGGATGTTGAAGCACCCAGCAACTATTAGCAATGAGAAGCGGGGGGCCCTTCCTAGGCTCAATGGGACATGAAGAGGAACCAGGGCATCCTGGAAGAGCTGGGGCCGTAAAGGGGACACTTACCAAGCCTGAAGCTATGGAGACAGGGGATGCCCCTAGAACCAGGAATCGAGGCTTGGGGGCAGGAAAGTAAACCCCCTCTTCTCTCTCCCACAGCCCTGCCTGTGTCTGAACCAAATGGTCCAGCCATAGAGCAAGAAAGCACACTGATCCATCTCTATAATCCAGTCCCCTCTACCCACCCCCACACACATGCAGAGAGGACTTAGAAGGCAAAAACAGGAAGGAGGGTAGAGGAATAAAGAAATATCAGCATTTATTTTAGAAAATAGGATTGACAGAAAAACCTGCCCCCTATTCTGTCTCCCAATCTGCCATGCTTCTAAAAAAATCTGACCATTTTTGAATAAAGGGCAAAGGCAAATGCACCAATATTTACTTAACTGGAAGTAACACGTGCACCAAGAGTCAAGCATTGACTTTTTTGATGGAAACCTGTGAGGCAGCAACAGCATGCAAGACATAGATAATGGTGGTGGGGGCGGAGCAGGGAGAAAGATGGGGAGAGAGATGATAAATACAAAGATACAAAATGAGAGGGAAGTAAGTATTGGCAAGGGTGAGCACAGCCAAGCATTTTCTTACATCCAAACTTTGTTGTTTAAATTTCCTTGGCAAAGCCCTGAGTTGGTGTTAACTCTCTGTTTTAAAACAGATCTCTGTTTTAATGCCCTCCTGTGAGAAACAAATAACTTCCATTGGGTTAAAGCTATTTACATGCAGCAGGTTTATTTTGATAATGAATGTTTAAATATATGCAGCAAGTCTGATTGCTTCTCCCTGTGAGGGATACAGTCCTGGAAGGCTTAGTTATGTCAAATTCCCAGCTGGAAAGGTAACTGCAGGGTCCTGCCCCTGTTTCACCAATGTCTCCAGTCCATGAGAAATGAGCTGCATCTTACAGTCTTTTTTTTTTTTTTTTTTGAGACGGAGTCTTGCTGTGTTGCCCAGGCTGGAGTGCAGTTGTGCAATCTTGGCTCATTGCAAGCTCTGCCTCCCGGGTTCAAGCCATTCTCCTGCCTCAGCCTCCCAAGTAGCTGGGATTACAGCTACCCACCACCACGCCCAGCTAATTTTTTGTATTTTTAGTGGAGACAGGGTTTCGCCACGTTGACCAGACTGGTCTCGAACTCCTGACCTCAGGTGATCGGCCCGCCTCAGCCTCCCAAAGTGAATCTTTATACAGTCCATACAGTCTCCACTCTTATGATGTCACACGCTCCTGGTATTGTTTATTTTCCATTTTCTCCAGTAGAATGTAAGCCCCACAGGGCACAGATTTTTGTTTCTTTTGTTCCCAGCTGTATTTCTACACCTAGAACAGTGCCGGGCACATAAAAGGAGTTTAAAAACTATTCATTCAGTGAAGGAAAAAATGAACACACAATCAGGGACACTCCCAGGTCTAAATAAGACACATTGTTTATCAGACATTCTGAGTTCATTTCCCAGACTGCCAGTGTTGACTTCCCCAGAATTCTGTCTTTTGATTAATATGACCAAAACCACTCTCCTCCTCACGCAAGTTCGACCTTAGCTCATCATTAGACCCAAGAACTAACAGAATCAGGCAGTACTAGCTTTCTATGAATGGGACTCCCCAGTGCCTCTCCCATCACCCACCAGCAGACTGTGGACAGATGCAACATTATCTGCTTCTTTACATGCACAGAAGTTAAATTTAATAAAGATGATGTTGCAAGCATTTTAATAAGAAAAATTCATGCAACAGTTACTGAGCATCTACTCTGTGCAAAGCTCTGTGTTCCCTGCTGGCCTAGCTGCCAGCCTCGCTGGAGAGAAGAAACAGGAAAAAAAAAATCATTCTACCACAATAGAAGAATGAAGAGTGCAATCATGATCATAATGGATGGGCAAACACATTCTGCAAGTTGTATTCTAATCTTCTGCAGCCCACACATGTACACAACGAGGCAGATTTTTACCCTTCTCCTTTCTAATTTGTCTAATATACTTTACATCAATATATCAACAAGAAAATAGTAAGACATACCAATATGTTCCTTTGCAAATATAATTATGTAATCATCTGGCAAACAAATAAACTCCTAGCTAATGCAAAGCTTGCTTTCAAACTATTTTTTTCTTTTTCTGCCCAGAGCAGGCTTACAAATAAATATTGAGTGTGCCAGGACATTGCTCAATTTTTCCTGTGCTAAACTTTTTAAGTGTAGCTGGGAAAGACAGTCTCCTTGCATTTACCTACTTGCCCAAAAGCAAAATGTTATTCATTGGCAGAGAAGAGGTTTCTCCATATTCATTGTATTCACCTGTCAGTAATTCACGTCTGGGTGAAATATCTCAAAATGCATTTTAAACCACTTAACTTTACCAGTTAGCACTTGTCTTCCTTAAGCTCACATTCAAAGCATTCTGCCCAATTATTGGGGCAGATATCAGAGACACACATTATAAACCTCTATGAGCCTGTATCCACCAGTCTCTCACTCCACAAGCCATGAGACATGAGGCACGATGGACAAAGGGCAACGTCGTCAAAGCTGAGAGATGCAATTTCTGCACAACACAATCATGTATTAGCCACGTGACCCTAGCCATCACTTAACCCCTCTACGGCTCAATTTTCTCATCTTGCAACTAAACCCTTAGAAAAGTACTATTTGCTCTGCCTACCTACAGGGCTGAGATTAACGTTCATTAAAATTTTACATGTATTAATAGGTGATTTCATGGAAGCATGTGCTCATAAAAATATCTATGTTCCTTAAAGTAGGCATTTGCATGAGTCTCTCAGAAAACAAAACTGCAAGCATCCCTGACTGAGCTGGTTTTCATGGGTGGTGATCCTATCCTTGGCTGCAGAGCTTATAGGCCATTCCTATATCAAATTATTTCAAAAATGTTTATTTGAGTGCTCTAGGTATCACATGATGAAAGGCATTGGGCATACCAAGATATTTCAGTGAGCTCACAGGACTTTGGAGGAGTTCGGAAAGTCATAATAGAGGGTAATAAAATGGCTTATAAGCAATTCCAACATTCCAGACACCTCCCCCCCACCATAAAATGAAGATATGAAGTTATTGAAATAGTCACAGTAGAGTAGAAAATGAAGCGGAGTCCAAAAGTTCGAGGTGCGTTTGGCGGTGCTTCTGACTTGGATGGAGTGACTCGATCAGTGGCCGCTAGAGAAAGAACAGATGAAGATTAAATAAAAATATAAGATTCATGTTTGGTGATGCAAACACATAAATTTTATTGTGTATGGAGAGGTTGCCAGGGTGTCTTCACCCAGAGGACACATCTCTGGAAAATCTTAGTCAAGTGTACGAGGAATTTGCAGAGTAGATTGAGCAAGAGCTGCTGGCTGGATGAAACATAAGATCTGCCTCCAAGATTCTTACAATCCAGCGTTGCAATGGTCTGAGGCCTGTCAGGGAGAATTTGGGAGGTTCAACAGCAAAGCAGCCACCCATATTACTGTCCTTCTGACAGGTCAGCAGGAGAGTCTCCTCTTGAACCATGAAGGCAGCTGTCCAGGGCATAAGTCTAGTTGACGGGCTCTCTAGCTGTTTTGTGTCCCTTGCTCAGACAACTGTTATTTTAACCCATTCCCCACCCGACCCCTTGGAGTTCCTTAGGCAAGTCTCTAAGAACCTCCACGTATGAAATTTACTTGACCCTAAGAAGTCTAAAACAGCAAAAGAATAAACCGTGTTTCTTATTTATAACCATTTTATCCCTTCAAAAACATATCCATAACTGCAGCCTAGCATTCAGGAGAATTAGATTTTATATCTGCGCATGATATTATGCACAGAGAGGTGAGGCTCAGACAGAAGAAATTATTTCTCAAGGACACCCAGCTAAGGTTGCAGGACTGATACGAAGACCTGGGCTCTGTGCCTTCAAATATACCATCTCCACAAGGGTCAGAAGCTTTATTAAATCATTCACTTGACAAACCTTCTTGGAAGCTGGACACACACCGGGTGCTGGAAGAAAGATGAAGAGGCAGTGGCCCTCATGAGTTCCTGATGGAACTCATTCGACAAAGCCATTGAACGTCAGATGTTTTCTGGTAAATCAGCCTGTTGAGGTAGATTTCCTCCTATGCCCGCCTGACAGGGGATCATGTGGTCTCTGCTAAAATTCTAGTGGACATGGGAATTCACTAGTGTTGGAGGTAACCTGTACATCAGAACTCTTCAAGAAACCCCTTATTTCATTTGTCTTTGTCTTGCTCTGTCTTCACACTTCCCACAGGGGCTTACCTCGGATCCTAGTTCCCTGGCCCTTTTCTTCCCCTTTTTTTGAAAATAATCTGGAATCCCAGGCTTCCCTTCCAGTTCCCACAGCGAGACCTTCTCACCTTGGGCAGCCAAGTTCGAGAGGCAGACAACACTGCCTCCTGGTGGCCAATGCGAGGCTCTACAGAAGGGCGAGCCTGTCCTTGCCAGTCTCTCTGTTATCAACCCAGAAAAAGGGAAAAAAGATATTACTCCCCGTTTTTTGGCAAGTAAAAGTGGAAGGAAGAAAAAACAAGAGCATAACAGAGACATCTGCAGCGTTTGGCCCTGGAATGCAGCATCCTTTTTCTGATCCTAACTTTCACTTGGTGACGCTGAGCTGCCCATCCCCCAGGAGGTGATTGCCTCCGACCCCTCCCCGCAGCACAGACCTTGTCTTCAGGAGAGTCTAGGGTCAGGAGCTTATGGATCCCTATTGAAGCCGTAATCCATTTGATTCACACCACAAGGGCTCCAGCACAGATAATTTTAAAAGTATTGTGGAAACAGGAGAAAAAATAATTAAAACGGAATTTCACTTTTTACTGGCAAGCCTCAAAGGTTATTAGAGACAGTCTAACATTTACTACCTAGCAACATGTCTCACGTCCACTTTTACCTGCTCCAAAATTAGCCCTTATCTTTTCCCCCGAGAAACTGTTCCCTTTCATTCCTCTCCTACCTTTTAAAACAAGCGAAATAACAACACCCGTTCTTCCTACTTCTTCCCTGCCTCCTCTAGGTCTCTACCTGCCCCATCCTTTCTTCTTCTCGCTTCTTTATTCTGAACATATCTCCTCTCCCTATGTTCTTTCCTTCTTCTTCTTGCTGTAGTCCTGTTCATCTCTCTCCTTGTCCACCTGTTCTCATAAATGTCCAAAGCACCTGCATGGGGCTGGCAGATTCTTTTTTCAGTGCAGGGAGGAGAAGGAGCCACCCCCACCCCGAAATGTCAGACCCCTTTTCTGGGCTAGTAAAGGCGCAGGGCTGAGAACGCTGATAGCTGAGATGTTGGGTTAAGCCACATGCACTCCGGTAGCTCTCGGTTGCCTCTCTTGGTCTCATATATGTTTGTGGTCAAAGGAATATACTGGGAATCCACCCCCGCCCCCCACCAGCCACCATCACCACCACAAGACTTACAAACGGAATTTGAAACCATTTTGTGGGAATGGCTGTTTAGAGACCAAAAGAAAAGACAGAGAGTCTTCTGAAGGTTTTCAGACTCTGGCTGTAAACTAATGCTAATTCTCAGATAAGCTAAAAATAATGTCCCCACAGGCGGGCTTCTGGAAGCCAGGCCACAGATCTTCTCAGCTTGACTCTATATTACAGTGAGCCCCGTGGAATAATAGGCACAATTTGTGTTTATTTCCCCAGCCCCAGAACATGTATTGAAAGTAGGTTATGTTTAATAACTGGTGGGATCCCTACATTGAACTGTGGAGTGAAGACTATCATGGTAGAAAAAGCCAAGCGACAGCCCCTAGAACCACATCGTCTCCGCCAAAATAATAAAGCAAAAGCAATACTGCATGTCTGGGGGCACTTTAGGGATCAATGCTAGCACAACCTGTAGGGTAAGAATAATTGCACATGCCCATCCGCCTTACCTGTTTATATGATGCAAAGACCAGCTGAACCTTGGGGAATGACTGTAGTTATTCCCCAAGATTACTTGGGGTTACTGCACACATAATTAGGTGGTGATATCTATGTAGCTGTGGCTCCATGTGTGGCATCTTTACTGAAACAAATCAGCATGGCCCTGCCACCCCGGATGCAGCTGTGGACTTGGTGTATAATGTTTCTGCACTTTTATCAGGAAAGATTCTCGGAAACCGTTCGCCCTCATGTGGCAGGAGCATCAGTACACCTTCACGATCTCATCTCATGGTTATACTAACTCTCTTGTTTTGATCATAAGACAAATAAGAGAGAACTGGAATATCTTAACATCCCACAGGCATCCCAGTATGTCAATAATATTTTGCTAAATGAATCTGATAAGAGGAAGGAGCAGGTGTCAAAGAAGGTGACAGATAAAGTTCACTAATATTTGGGAGTCTGCCACAGTGATAAAGTTTTCCAGAGAGCCAGTGGTCTCAGATATATTAGAATATCTCCTCTGAAGTGAGAGATATGTTGTAACACTTTGTAGCATTGATGTCAAAAAAGTACATAACCCTTGATAGACTATGCATTTTGAAGGACACATACAGGATATTTCAGCATGCTTCTATATTATAATTATTGGCTAACCTCCAAGATTGCCAGTGTGGAAAGTGGAGGGAATAAAGAGAAAGAAGGTTCAGGAAGTAGTTCAAGCTGTCTTGTTCCTTAGGGCTTGTGCTTCAACACATACAATAGCATTTCCTGTGTGTAAGACGGATAAGATATTCTATAGAGACGTTGACACATCACTGCATAGATCCCCTGGGTTCTGGAATGAAGCTGTGCCCTCTTCTGCCAGCAACTATCCTCCATTTGATAAGCAGGTCCTGGCCTCCCCTTGACCCTGGCAGAAACTTTGACCATAAGATACCAAGTGACTGTGCAATTTAAACTGCCCAACAGCGGTGTTTTTTCTGATCTACCCAGTCATACAATCAGATATAAATTGTAGTATTCACATACACATTGGTAACAGTCTGTATTAGAACAGGCACAAGTAAATTACACAAGTCGCTGGGTAGTTCACTCATCCGGTACCAATGCCTGTCGCTGTGTCTATACTTTGTCCTTAACATATGTCTGTGGCCTCATAGGGGTTTCTTATGAAAAGTTAACAAAAGTATAGTACTGATTACAGATGGCTTTGCATAATACACATATAACCAGCCAAAAGTGTATTGTAGCTCCACACAGGGATAACTCTAAAAGACAGTAGTAGAGAAAAATCCTTCCAGGGAGCAGAGTCCAGGAAATAAATCAGATTGTGGATTTCTGTGGAATGAGAGATGGCCTGAGTTACCCAGAATGATCTGATAGCACAGGCTATCATATTGGACCACTGCTCAAAAACTTAAAAATAACAAGTTTGGAAGATGGACGTCAAAGTAGTCTGAAAAAAAAAGTATATAGATAACTAGCTCTTGGAGTTGTCACAGTTACGAAGATACTTGTTTCCCCCACAACTGCCCCCCACATACCCAGAGACCATCCAATGAGATGTAGGCTTCCAATAATCAAGTGGAAAAGATAACCCATGTTACAAATATTAGTGTCTCCTCCAGCACCTGTGCATTGGTCTAAAGCAGGGGTCCCCAACCCCCAGGCCATGGACCAGTACTGGTTTGTGGCCTATTAGGAACCAGGTCACATAGCAGGAGGTGAACGGCGGGCAAGTGAGCAAAGCTTCATCTGTATTTATAGCTGCTCCCCATTGTTCACATTACTGCCTGAGCTCTACCTGCTGTCAGGTCAGAAGTGGCATTAGATTCTCATAGGAGTGCGAACCCTGTTGTGAACGGTGTATGCAAGGGTGTATGCAAGGTGTAGGTGGCATGCTCCTTATGAGAATCTAATGCCTGATGATCTGTCACTGTCTCCCATCGCTCCCAGATGGGACCATCTAGTTGCAGGAAAACAAGCTCAGGGCTCCCACTGATTCTGCATTATGTTGAGTAGTATAGTTACTTTATTACATAGTACAATGTGATAATAATAGAAATGAAGTGCACAATAAATGTAATGCACTTGAATCATCCCAAACCATCCCCCCATTCCCCTGGTCCATGGAAAAAGTGTCTTCCGTGAAATCGGTCCCTGGTTCCAAGAAGGTTGGAGACTGCTGGTCTAAAGGACACAAAGCAGTTGTGATGACAGCATTGAATAGCATGCATATACACAGAAATGGGGGGTTCTCTCCACCCTGCCTGCCCCATGAACTGCCCAATCTTCTAAGAGCAGAGGCCAGCACTGAGCCTAGGATTTGGCACCATTTTCCACAGAACAAGAAAGCGCCTGGGGGCAGGCTAATTACTCCAGCCTTTCTCCATCGTGGCAGGTGCTGCTGTGTGCCATCCCAGGGAGAGGCCCCAACTCCAGACATGGATTTGCCTTTGCTACCCATGACATACCTATACCATCATCATTGGTGAAATTAGCAAATGTCTTCTTCATGGCAATGTAATTCACAAAATTTCACCTCTAATAAGGCATCCTTATTACACCAAAGGAAGTGCAGCAAGAGGCTTCTGCCCATGGGACCCACTGATCTTATTCCGTGTATCTCAACACCGAGAAGCAGATGTTTGATAAAAATGGGATGGACTCTTTTATTATTACCATGAGTAAACTCCTCAAGATACTGTTGCTTGCCTTTGGGGGTGAGTTGGTCCTAGTGTCAAGGGAGAAATAATTATGAAGAAGTGGAATCTGAGCAATATAACCTTGATGATAAGAGAAACTCTAGATGTTGTGGACTAGAAGGATTACCAAGCCTAGATAAAAGGACTGCCAAGCCAAGCCATTACCACCCAACAGGGGCCAGGAGGACTAGGTCTGAACTCAGGAGAGTCACTGGGTGACTTGTAACTCCCTTACCCAATAGCTCAGGTCAATGGAAAACTGCAACAACGCAATACAAATGGGAACACCAAAAATGTGGATAATCCGTTAATGAAAGTTTGAAATAACCCCTAGGATAAGAACCCAATCCAGCTAAGCTGCTGTAAAAGCACAAAGGGAAAATGAAAAGAATCCTGGAAACTGGCCATTGTAATGATCAACTCGGGCATCATGACCAACTACGGAATCAGGGATGTATGTTGCTCTGCTGTATGCTAGTTCATCACTCATTTTCTCCCTAGCTACCCCCCACTATCCGGAGAAGACTGTTGTGGCTAATATTTGAAGTTTTGGGTACTGACAGCACTCCATACACAAGGCAGCTTATGAGGCTTTCTTGTCTCCTGTGTTGAGAACACTTTTTTTTAATTTGAACAAAAGATGGACAAGAGAGATTTTTAGGCGACAATAGGAATGAACTGTTCTGGACGCTTTCAAAATACCATCCAAATCCATCCTCTGGCTTTCTTTAATCTGCTTTGTACCCAAAGAGGCTGAAGTTGATGGACTTCCTCATGGCTCACTTGCCAGCCATCTTCTTGTTGATTTAGATTCATGGGAATTGTCGGCAGGAGATTGGCTTGGGGGAGAGGGTGAAATCAAGTAACTATTCTCTGGATTCTTCCATGATGGGTTGCCAAAGGTTAAATAAGTTTCCCTTCCAATGTCATACCTCTTTCCCACCACAACAGCTACTATCTCTGAGTTCTGGTCAACTTTCCTCCCCTTTAGCCCTTCAGTCCTAAAAGTGGTAATGACTCCCAACCATTGGTAGGTTAGGAGTGCTTCAACTATCCCTTCTTGGTTTCCTGTAACCCTGTTGACACATTTGTAAGTAGCCCCTTCATTAAACTTTCCTTAATTACCCCCATTGGAATGTGGCATCTGTTTCCTGTTAGGACTGTAACTAATACACATTCAGATCAGATTCTCAGGGCAAAACTTCCAGTAATTAGAAATCAGCAACAAACATAGACTTAAAAATGGACCATCCTAAATAACTCATGAATTAATAAGTTATTCACATAGAAAACTATGAGACATTTAGAACTGAATAACAAGAAGTGTACCACATCATAGCCATCTAAAGTAAGGCAAAAAAGTGAAATTTGTGTATTAACAAAAGAGAAATATTGAAAATAAGTTTCTCAAGAAGACAAAACCATGTCAGAATAAGCTTTAAAAATAGAGCAGACATATGGATAATGAACTAATAAAATTTAGAAAGAAAGAAACAAATGAGCTTTAACAAAACCAAAAAATATGCTTTTTTTGAAACATCTAGCAATAAAATCAAGAGAGAAGAAATTGAACAAAAAAAGTATGACCAGGTATAAAGATTTATTATAAAACTGTAGTAATTAAAACACAATGGTTTTAATGCCATCATAGATAGTAGAAAAGATCTATTAGCATACAGAACATTGATAAATGGCATTACAAATTGGAGAGGAAATGCTAAACTACTCAACAAATAGTGCTGAGGAAATTATGCATATGGAAAAAATTGATACCATGTCACACCATAAATAACAATCATTTATTGATGAACTAAGTATCAATATGTAAAAAGGAAACCCTAAAACCTTAGAAGAAAAATGTAGGACAATTAATTCTTTGAAATAAAGAGGGAATTATTAAATAAAACACAAAAATTACAATCAATAAAAAAGATGGATGTTTGAATATATGTGTGGGTATGCATGCTTTATGTTTGCAGAGCTGTACATGTATTGGATAATCAACAAAAAAAAAGCCTTATTCATTCAACAATCTTTACTGAGCAACTACAATGTGACAATAACTCTCCAAAGTGCTAGAGATTGTACAACAAGCAAAACAGATAAAATCTCTGCCCTATACAATATAGTGACAGATAAGCAAACAAGTTCTATTCAGTATGATAAGGTCAATGATAGATGAATGCAGGGTACCATTAGCACACAGAGGAGTACTATCTAAGTCTAACTGGGAGTGGTTGGGAAGGACAGCTCTCAGGAAAAGCTTTTCAGAAGATGTGACATCAAAGTTGAACAAGCTGCACTTGATAGCACAACAAAAATATTACAATGAAAATATTATCAAGTTCATCATAAGAGAGCACTATTTCCAGACAATTTATTAATCAATGATTCGCTGTGGTTTTGGTGAGATATGGCAGACCAGAAGATGACTGTCTCTCCTGAGGCATTTGCCCTATTTGTTCAGTCATTCAGTAAATATTTATTGACGGATTCTTGAATCCCAGACACTATAATAAGCACTGGCATACCAGATGAATAAGAAATCACTTCTTCTCTACCCACAAGCAGAAAAGCTCTGAGACTAATGATGGATAGAGGCAGACATATAAATAGGAAAGTACTGTTTGATGTGATGGGCATTATGATCCTGGGAAGCTTGTGGTGCCCTCGGTGCATATTGAAGCACCTGCTCCAGACCCTGGGATAGGGGAAGGGTGTGGGGTCTGATGGTGCCCCAAACGCCCATCGATGAAGGCAAAGAAAATATTTTAACTTGGATTATTGAGTGAATCTGATCTAGGTCAGAATTCCAATTGCATGAATTGAAATAAAAATATAATCATATGTTAAAATCTGTCATTTATAGGTAAATCAGAGATCTCAGCAGCAAGTTACCCACAGCAGCAGTTTTTGGAGATAAGAATTATGTAACAACAAAGCAACTGTTGTTTCTTGGGAAAGCATTAAACTAAGAGGTGATAGACTTGAGTTTCAGTCTTGATTTTGCCACACACTAGTTATCTAAAGCCTAGAGTAGGCCATTTATCCTCTCAGTTTGGGAATAACATCATAATGTGATACATTTATTGTGAAAATTAAGTTGGAACATTAACATGAAACTGCTTAGTAAAGCACTATTCATAGATCATTATTAAACGGCATGTGCTTATAAAGACTGTACTAACATTTCTTGTTGAAAATTCCATCATTTTCATAATTGCTTCATTCTGTTTTATTGAGGCATAATTTTCATATATTAAAATACACCCATCTTAAATATATTGTCCACTGAGTTTGGCAATTGTATAAATCTGTGTAACCACCAAGAAAATTAAAATGCAGAACTTTACCATAATCTCAAAAAGATTCTCTTCCCATAAATTCACCCACCAAAGAAAACAACTGTCCTGTTTATTTCATCATAGATTTTTATCCTTTTATAAACTTTATATAAATGAAATCTTAAAATAAATATTCCTATGTACCTGGCTTCCTTAACTCAATGTTCTCAAGACTGTTTCATGTTCTAGCATGTTTTAGCAATGTGTCCTTTTAAACTTTGTATATACTGCAGTGTGTTTCTTCACTTTCCTGTTCTTGCTACCAGGCTTTTTGTGGACATAAAAATTCATTTTCATTGGGTTAAAACCTAAGAGTAGAATTATTCAGTCATAGAATGGAGGTATGTTTATAAGAAACTATCAAATCCCTTTTCAAGGTGGTTGTACTATTTCATTCTAGATTTCCAATTTTTGTTTTTGTCAGACATTTTTATTTCAGCCATTCTTCTGGGTATAAATATCTGACTGGTTGTTTTAATTTGCACTTCTCTAAATGGCTAATGATATCCATATGGGACTTTCATATATCTTCTTTGGTAAACTGTTCAAATCTTTTGTGCCTTCTTTCTTTGGTTCATTGTTTTATAAATTATTGACTTGTCAAAGTTTTTATGTAATCTGGGTACAAGTGTTGTTCAGAGATATGTAATGTGAACATTTTCTCCCAGTTTGTGGCATGCCTATTCATTTTCTTTATATGTTTTTATGATGCTAAGTAGCGTTTTTGATACACACCTTTTGCCTGAAATCTTTGCCTACCCTAAGGTTGCAAAGATTTTTTTCTAATGTTTTTCTCCTAAACATTAATAGTTCTAGCTATTGATTTCATGTTTATAATCCATATTGTATTAACTTTTGCATGTGGAGCAATGTAAGAACCAAGGTTCATCTTTTTTGCATATTACTAGAGAGTGTTTCCAACACAATTTGTTGAAAGGTTTTTCTTATGGCATCAATTGCATTGGCTCAAAGGGATATTTTTGAACTCCCTGTTCCTTTAATGTATCATATATCCTTATGTCAGCACAATACTGTCCTTATTATTTTACATTTATAGTAAGTGTTGAAATCAGGTAGGTAAGTCCAACTTTCATAATATTTTTAGAAATATTTCACACTTACATAAAAATTTTAGAATCATGTTACGAATTTCTACCAAAACAAAAAGCCTTCTGGAATATTGATGTAGATTGTATCAAGCCTATGTCTCAATTTTGGGAGAATTACTCTCTTAGCAATATCAAATCCTTCAATCTATGGTCTATTACTCCAATATTTAGATACCTTTAATTTTTCTCAGCAATTTTTGTGGTTTTCAGCATGTAATATTTGAACATCTTTCATTAAATGCATTCCAGGGTATTTGAATTGAAGGTTTTCAATGCTGTGAAAAAATGGTATTTTTAAATTTTATCATCAAATTGTTCATTGCTGGTATATATGTATTGATTTTTATATGCTGACCACATATACAGTGAACTTACTAAAAATAGTAGAAATTGATTTTTAAATTCCTTAAGGTAATATGCGAACACAGTCAATTTGTCTGCAAATATAGAATGTTGATTTTCCCTCACAATGTCTGTAACTTTTATCTATTTATTTATCTTGCTTTATTGCACTGGTGAGAATATCCAATATGATGTTGATTAAAAGTGGTAAGAGTTAAAGTCTTGTTTCTGATCTGAGAAAGAAATTCAAATATCTTATAACTAAATTTGATTTTAGCTGTAGGTTTAGCGTGGATGCCTTTTACCTGGTTGAGGAAATTTCTTTCTACTCCTGATTTGCTGGGAGTTTTTAAGAAGATTGAATGTTGAATTTTTTCAAATGAATTTCCTGCAGCCATTTAATTATTATCATCATAAGATTATTTTCCTTTTTGTTTACATCTTGAATTACACTGATTAATTTTCAAATGTTTAATTAGCTTTGTATTCTCAGGATAACCTTCATGTGCTCATATTATGTTAACTCTTCATATAATAATAATGTTGATTTGCTAATATTTTTGGTAAGAAGTCTTCCTCTGTTTATAAAGGATCTAAATCTGTAATTTTTTTCTAGTAATGTCCGTCACAGATATCTGACCTCAGGATTGTGCTGGCCTTATAAAAATATTTAGAAGTAACTCGTACTCTCTTTTCTCAAAGAAAAATGGGCAACAATTCTAATATTTCTTTCATTGTTTGATGGAATTCACTAGGGAAGTCAACTATATCGAACTATCCTTGTTGATAGGTTTTGTTTTACAATTTAAATATATTTTTATATTTAACATCTATTTACATATGTTCACATTGGGATTTATCAATTTTATAAATCTTTTTTAACATTTGAGTTTGTTGATCTTCTCTGTTTTTTGTCTAGAGTTTATTTTATTGATTTCTGCTCTTTATTTATTATTTTCCCTATTATATTTATTTTGTGTTTAAGATTTTTTTCTTTCCTTAGCTTCTAAACATGGAAGTTTATATTAGAAAAGGATAAAAGTTAAAAATCAATGATCTAAGCATACAAAACTATAGGTTTTCTTCTTAGCACTGCTTTAGCTGCACGTCATAAATTTCTGTATATTGGATTTTCATTATAATTCAGCTCAAAATGTTTTCTAATTTCCTTTGTAATATTTTATTTGTCCTGTGGATTTTTTGTTGCATAATTTCCTAGCATCTGGGCTTTTCTAGATAAAGTATTAGAAATGTTTATTTCTCACATTTATCATCAGAGAATATACTTTCTATGATTTCATTTCTTTGAAACTAATTAAAAATTATTTTAGAGCCCAGTATGTGGTTGGTTGTCATAAATATTTATGAATACATGTGTTTGTGTGCATTATTCTATTCATGTTAGTTAGGCTAAGTTGGTTGATAGCAATGTTCAAAAGCTCTATATCTTTACTATTTTTTTTATTTTTTGAAACATGGTCTCATTCTGTCACCCAGGCTGGAGTGCAGTGGTGCAGTCATGGCTCACTGTAGCCTCTACCTCCCAGGCTTCAGGAAATCCACCTGCTTTAGCCTCCTGAGCAGCTGGGTCCACAGGTGCATGCCACCATGCCTGGATAATTTTTTAAAATTATTTGTAGGGGTGGGGGTCTTGCTATGTTGTCCAGGCTGGTCTCAAACTCGTAACCTCAAGCCATCCTCTCACCTTGGCCCCCTCAAAGTGCTGGGATTACAGACATGAGCCACTATGCCCAGCCTATTATTTTTTAATGAGTTGTTTCATTCCTTACTGAGAGGGATATTAAAATCTTCAATTCAGGTTATAAATTTATATATTTCTTTTTTACTTCCATCAGTATCTGCTTCATATATTTTGAGGTTCTTATTAAGTACATACAAATATAAACTGCCATGTCTTATTTTAATCCTGAAATTTTTATGGTTTTTATTTATCTGTTGAAATTTTTAATCTGCTTACACATATTGTTCACCTTTTCCATTAATCCTTTATTTATGATTATTGTTTTATAGCATATCTCTGCTAACTCTATAAGCTGCATCTTTGGATCTGATTCTTTGGACAATTTTTTATCTTGAAAATGGTCACATTTTGTTGCCTCTTTTGTCTCTTTAATTTAAAAAATTATATTTTGTAAGTTCCATTAAAAGAATAATTGAGAATTAAATATGATAGATACTATTTGCCTTGAAAAGAGTGAGAAGCTGAATCGGTGATATCTGCAACTGGGCTGAGTCTGGGCTTTGTTGCAGCTTTTATTATATTCAGTTCTCCTCTGGCTTTGAGGGAAAGATAAAGATTTTTATCTTCTAAGCAAAATTTACAGTTTGAGCATTGGTGAAATTCTGAGGGTCTCTCTATGCATGACAGCCGGCCTCAGGAGATGGCGCCATCCTGCTGCAGCAGGGACAGACTTTGACTTGCTGCCACTTTGCATGCAGTAAAGGCCCATGGTGCCTTAGGGTCTCAAGCAGCTTCCCTGCACTCCCCAGGCCTTCAGCAGGGCCCTGCCTTGTGGTTAGTAAAGGTTCTATGCACAGTAGCTGCTTACTCAGTCCTCCTGTCTCACCCTCCGTCTTTGTTGCTGCTACTGTGCACACGGGAAAGGTCTAGGACAAAGATTCGGTGGGTAGGTGTGGGTTTGCTGTGTGACTGGAGATCCTCAGAATTCCAAACTATCATGTCAGCTTCACATGACTGATAAGAGCAGTTTTTTGTTTGTTTAAGTTTGGTCACATCAATCATACCATACATTGGGGTAAAGAGAAACTTATCAAGGATAAAAGTAGCCATGGGCCCTTCTCTTCCTGGAAGGGCTTGTCTCTTATTGAAAATTAATTAATTTAAGTTTCTCTGTGTTCTTGGTTCTCAATTGCTTTTGAAAACACCTATGATTGGCCAGGTGCGGTGGCTCACACCTGTAATCTCAGCACTTTGGGAGGCTGAGGCAGGTGGATTACCTGGGGTCAGGAGTTCAAGACCAGCCTGGCCAACATGGTGAAACCCTGTCTCTACTAAAATACAAAAAAAAATTAGCCAGGCATGCTGGCACACTCCTGAGGTCCTGGCTACTCAAGAGGCTGAGGCAGGAGAATCACTTGGACCTGGGAGGCAGAAGTTGCAGCAAGCTGAGATCATGCCACTGCACTCCAGCCTGGGCAACAGAGTGAGACTCTGTCTCAAAAAATAAAAATAAAAACACCTATGATTATATAACTTATCTGGACCACGCGTACTTTTAGGGCAGGAGCAACAGTCTCCGGCCATTTACTATAACCTGATGACATGCTTATGCAATGCTTTGCTTAGTGTCTAAGACATGGATGTGAATAAAGTATCCCTGTGATGAGAAAGGAATAAAAATGGATTTATGTAGTTATCCAGGTAAATGTTTAATTTCAATCAGTTTTACAAACCTTTAAGAATAAAATTGTCTTTGCTATGTAACATGTGCCCATTCCTAAGGGCTTCCAGATAAAGTGATGTGGATGCTGTACTGCTCAAAGTTTCCAAGCCAAGCAGACAAATGGGACTTGAAATACAGCCTCAGCTTTGTTTTCCAATTTAACTTCTCAAAGGATAACCTGTTTTTTATTCACACAATGGTCCCATTTACAAGGGCCTGCTACGACCCCCATGTTGCCAACCTCTGTGGATAAATAAGTCCTCTCCCATAAGCAATAAATATGCACTATCTTTCTCTCTCCTACTGTTTGTCTGTCTCTTATTAATATAGAGAATATAAATTGTGCTGTACCAATCAATAACATCCAATCTACCATTACCATGCCAAGACCTGCACTCATTACTTGAGACTTGCTTTCTCAAGTAATGAAAGTTCTCCAAACTCAGAAACAAAGTAGAAAATGCCTGAAATATTCTGGCTTGATTTTTCAAAAAACTGAAACTTTTTTACTCAATGTTAATATTCATCTCTTCCTTCCAATAGAAATTTTCTGCTGATTTTCTTGATTGTGATATACCTCAGCACTTGACTTGCTGAATAAGACAACTGTGGCAATTATGACTACTGACAAGAATATTGTGTAAATGATCAAGAATAACTTGTTATATATCTAGACCAGATATATATGAAAGAGAAAATTGACAAAGGTGGAGCAAGTATCCCAGCTATTAATGTGTAAGTCACTGCTCCCTTTAAGAAAGTTCATGCAACATAGTAGAAGAAACCTTTTAAAACAAGAGTTGTTTTCATGTACTGTTTGACAACTACTTTGCAGTCTCATTCCTCTGACAAGTGTGAGTTTATCCTACTTATACATTATTTGACGTATAAGTCCAAATAAGTATGAAATGATACCTGATCCAAAATTCACTCAAGACCTTTTATTCATTTGTGTACAAATATATGATATGAAAATTTGTAACTACTTTATTTAATTGGTTCTAGCAATAAATATGTATTGAGTTTTAATTTTTTTTAAATTGACTGTTGTCTTCTGAGTACTTACATAAATGCCTGTCACAAAATTTCTGTTCTTTAGTTTTTTTTTTGTTTTTTTTTTTAAGATGGAGTTTCACTCTTCTTGCCCAGGCTGTAGTGCAATGGTGCAATCTTGGCTCACTGCAACCTCCACCTCCTGGGTTCAAGTGATTCTCTTGCCTTAGCCTACCAAGTAGCTGGGATTACAGGCATGCACCCCCATGCCCAGCTAATTTTTTGTATTTAGTAGAGACAGGGTTTCATCATGTTGGTCAGGCTGGTCTTAAACTCCTGACCTCAGGCGATCCACCCACCTCAGCCTCCCAAAGTGCTGGGATTACAGGCGTGAGCCACCATGCCTGGCCTTCTATTCTTTAGTTCTTTACATTCTAGTGCAAGAAGAATGTGAAAAAAATCAATAAATATGATCATTTCTGGAAGTGATAAATATGATAACCATATTTAGTGTTTAATTTAGTATTTAAGCCAGAACACTTTGGAGAATAATTACACCAGGAAAGCAGGCATCCATAGAAACTGCCTGGGAATAAACAAGACATAGGGTGACCGTAGTGAAAATAAGTCAGGGTTGTGGCTTTGATGGAACCGCATCTGAATGGGTGGGGGCAGGTGACATTAACCAGGAGCCCAGGGAAGCCCTGTTGAAGGGTTGGCACTGGATTCCAGATCCGAATGAGGAGAACGAGTAACTAATCTAAGGTGGACTAAGAGCCATGCAGGTAGGGGAGTCACAAGTACAGAGGTTTTGAAAGGAAATGGAAATAGAAGAAACAATGTGGCTGCCGCCAAGTGAAACAGAGAGCGCTAAGAGATGAAGTCAGTGCAGTAAGCAGGGCAAGTCCATGTGACATAGAGAGCGCTAAGAGATGAAGTCAGTGCAGTAAGCGGGGCAAGTCCATGTGACATTCCACCATCCTTGCAGGCCACGGTCAGGAGCTGGCAATTTACTCTAAGTGAAATGGTGAGTTGGCAAACGTCTAAATTACAGAAAAAATTTTGCTTGAATTAGAGGAAAATATTCATGAAAGTTGTGAATTTAATGTTCTTAAATCAACCTAATCACATTAATGTATTATACGATTTGGATCTGTGTCCCCACCAAATCTTATGTTGAATTGTAACCTCCAATGTTGTGGCAGGGCCTGGTGGAAGATGACTGGACTATGGGGGTGGATTTCTCATGAATGGTTTAGCACTATCCCCTTGGCGCTATTCTTACAATAGTGAGTGAGTTCTCCTGAGATCTGGTGGTTTAAAAGTGTGTGGCACTACCTCCTCTCTTCCTCCTGCTCAGGCCATGTGACACACCTTGTTCCCCTTCACCTTCTCCCATTATTGTAAGTTTTCTGAGGCCTCCCCAGAATCCAAGCAGATGCCAGCATCATGCTTCCTGTACAGCCTGTGGAACCATGAGCCAATTAAACTTTTCTTCATAAATTACCCAATCTTGGTTATTTATTTACAGCAATACAAGAATGGACTAATACAGAAAATCCATTCAGGGAGTGAGGCCTTGCTATAAAGATACCTGAAAATGTGGAAGCGTCTTTGGAACTGGGTAGGGCAGAGGCTGGAAGAGTTTGGAGGACTCAGAAGACAGGAAGATAAGGGAAAGTTTGAAACTTCCTAGAGACTGGTTGAATGTTGTGACCAAAATGCTGATAGTGATACGGACTGTGAAGGCCAGGCTGATGAGGTCTGATGGAAATGAGGAACTTATTGGGAACTGGAGCAAAGGTCATGTGTGTTAGGCCTTAGAAAAGAACTTGGATGCATTGTGCCCACATCCTAGAGATCTGTGGAAGTTTGAACTTGAGAGTGATGATTTAGAATATCTGGTGGAAGAAATTTTTCAAAGAAGCAAAGCATTTAAGATGTGGCCTGGCTGCCTCTGACAGCCTATGGTCATTTGTGTGAGCAAATAAATGTCAAAAAGTTGGAACTTATATTTAAAGGGGAAATAGAGCATAAAAGTTTGAAAAATTTGCAGCCTGGGCATGTGGTAGAAAAGAAAAGCCCATTTTCTGTAGAAAAATTCAAGTGGGCTGCTGAGCAACCACTTGCTAGAGAAATTTGCACAACTTAAAAGGCAAGTGCTGATAGCCAAGATAATGGGAAAAAGACCTCAAAGGCATTTTAGAGTTCTAAATCCCATCACAGGCCTGGAGGCCTAGGAAGACTGAATCATAACATGGGTCAGGCCCAGGCCCCTTGTGCTGCTTCAGGACACTGCTCCCTGCATTCCAGCTGCTCAAATTCCAGCTTCAGTTCAAAGGGTCCCAGATACAGCTCAGGCTGTAAGCACTGGAAGCTTCCATGTAGTGTTAAGCCTGTGGGTGTGCAGAGTAGAAGAACTGAGGCTTGGGAACCTTTGCCTAGATTTCAGAGGATGTATGGAAAAGCCTGGATGTCCAGGCAAAAGCTTGCTGCAGGGGCAGAGCCCTCATGAAGTACCTCTGCTAGAGTAGTGTGTAGGGGAATTGTGGGGTTGGAGTCCCCACACAGAATCCCCACTGGGGCACTGCCTACTGGAGCTGTGAGAAGGGGGCCACTGTCCTCCGGACTCCAGAATGGTAGATTCACCTACAGCTTGCACTCAGTTCCAGGAAAAGCTGCTGGTACTCAACACCAGCTCATGAAAGCAACTGTACAGGCTGAACCCTGCAAAGCCACAGGTGCAGAGCTGCCCAAAGTTTTTGGCCCAACCCTCACACCAGTGTGCCCTGGACATGGGCCATGGAGTCACTGTAGATTATTTTGGAGGACCCACACAGAATCCCCACTGGGACACTTCCTAGTAAAGCTATGAAAAAGGAACCACCATTCTCCAGACCCCAGAGTTAGTAGAATTGACCAGCAACTTGCACCCTGCACCTAGAAAAGTTGCAAGCACTCAACAAACTGTGAGAGCAGCCACAGGAGCTTTACCCTACAAAGCCACAGAGGCAAAGCTACCCAGGGCCTTGGGAGCCCACCCCTTGCACCAATGTGCCCTGGATGTGGGACATAAAGTCAAAAGAGATTATTTTGGAAGTGTAGGATTTAATGACTGCCCTGCTGGGGTTTGGACTTGTGTGGGGCCTGTACTCCCTTTCTTTTGGCTGATTTCTCCCTTTTGTAATGAAAGTATTTACCCAGTGCCTATACCCCCATTGTATCTTGGGAGTAACTAACTCATAAGTGGAAGATTTTTGCCTTGTCTCAGATGAGACCTTGGACTCTGGACTTTTGAGTTAATCCTGGAAAGAGTTAAGGCTTTGAGGGATGGTTGAGAAGGCATGGTTGTATATTTCAATGTGAGAAGAATATGAGATTTCAGTCCCAGAGGAAGAATGATATGGTTTGGATCTCTGTCCCCACCAAATCTCATGTCAAATTGTAATCCCCAATGCTGGAAGTGGGGCCTGGTGGGAGGTGATTGGATCACAGGGGTGACTTCTCATGAATGATGTAGCACCACCCTTTTGGTGCTGTTCTTGTGATAGTGAGTGAGTTCTCATGAGGTCTGGTTGTTTAAAAGTGTGTGTCACTTCCCCTCCTTCCTCCCACTCTGACCATGTGACGTGCCTACTCCTCCTTTGCCTTCTGCCATGACTGTAAGTTTCATGAGACCTCCCCAGAAGCCAAGCAGATGCCGGCATCATGCATCCTGCACAGCCTGCAGAACCGTGAGCCAATTAAACCTCTTTTCGTTGGAAATTACCCAGTCTCAGGTATTTCTTTATAGCCATGCAAAAATGGACTAACAATGTATTAACTTGCTATTTCAACAAATGTCAAGAGGGTTTTTTCCCAAAGTGAATTCCTTTACCAAGTGAATAATACCTTACTTTTGTAAAACTCCAGGTTCTCATGTGTTAGTTATGTGAAGTACATCTTTATTTTCTGCGTGTAAAGCATTGTACTAGAAGATAAGAAGTCTTTGGAATGACATTGAGGGGATATTTGGGTTTTCTAGGTCCAGGACAAGTTCAGCACAGAATAGTGTGAATGATTGTCAGGTAGATGTTGTTACAAGTAAGTGGAGTCAGGACTAGTAAAAATTTCACGTCAAAAAGCATTTTGCTTATTAATAGAAAGTCCTGCATTGTTAAAAAAAAATCAATTGCAGGATGTAATAGAGGAAAATATGGCTTGACAACAGAGTTAACTTAAACCTCCAACTGCTTTGGCAGTAAAAAAAAAAAAAATTATGTGACAACGTTACTTAAATGTTAACACAGTCTTAGAATTCAGTCATGGAGATATCATTCCCAAATAATGGAAGGAGGTCATGCACTCTATTTTGCTCAGATCACATCTGGAGTAAAGACTAATTAGAAAATCTGAGCAGTGAGAAGACTGGAAATCATGCCACTGGGGAAAAGGTGAAGGAAATTGGCTCCAATTTGAACTCAGGAAGAGAAGGCCAGAGGAAATTGGATTGTTGGCTTCAGATTTAAACAGGGCAGCTGTGTATATTATACCTTTCTGACTTGCTGTAAACCAGTCTTGACACACTTGACCCAAAGGTTATGTGTGAGTCTTCGGCTTCGAGGTATGTCCTATAATCTTGTTTCAGAATAAAATACTAGCAATGTACTTCCACAGTGCTACTTCTCAAAAGTGCATTGCTGATAGATGGGAATGACTGGGAAAGTGCCTTTGGTAAAAGGGGAGTTGACTGGCCAGCACCCTATCTCTGGTCTGACCAGCACTTTTGACTTCTAAAACAACACTACTGGGACACAGAGGTGTACATTAAAAGAACTCTCCCATTGTATTAGTCAGTTTTCACATTACTATAAAGATACTGCCTGAGACTAGGTAATTTATAAACAAAAGAGGTTCAGTTGATTCACAGTTCTGCATGGCATGGGGGGAGCCTCGGGAAATTTACAACCAAGGCGGAAGGTGAAGGGGAAGCAAGCACCTTCTTCACAAGGTGACAGGAGAGAGCTAGTGAGAAGAGAAGTGCTAGACACTTATCAAACAACCAGATCTTGAGAAAACTCCCTCACTATCACTACAACAGCAAGGAGGAAATCTGCCCTCATAATCCAGTCACTTCCCACCAGGTCCCTCCCTCCACATGTGGGAATTACAATTCAAAATGAGATTTGGGTGGGGACACAGAGCCAAACCATATCGCCCATGAAAAAAGTGTCTTCCTCAGGTGGTGCGCAGCAGCCACCAGGAGCCTTCTCAGTGTCTGCTCTGAGCTGCGGCTAAAATATGATGTCCAAGTGAAACACTGGGTCATCCACCTGCCAGGAATCCCAAGAACTGAAAAAGCCTATTCAAAGACAGGCTTTGAGACACAAAAAACATCATGATAATGATAATGAAATAAAACAAATAAGGATAGCAGCTGCCAAATAGTTTTTAATGTTATTGAACTCTTAATGGGTACCACGCATTGAGCGAAGTGTTTCATGCTATCACATATCCTTGAATAAATCCACAAGGTGGCTCGTATGATTATGCCCTTTTATAGATAAGGAAACTGAGCCTGAGGGAAGTTAGAGACATGGCTGATAAATGGGGAAGTGAAGATTCAAATCTGGGCTGTCTCACACCCAAGTTTGAACTATTCTCCACTACCAAACAGAGACAGCTCTGCCTCCCAAGGAGTGGAAGAGGACAGGGGTCACATTGGGTAGAACAGAGGAGAGCTTCCCTCTGACTCCAGAGACGCCAGGGTGAACCTACACATCCATGCATCTTTTGCTGCCATTTCTTATCTTCCCTCTAAGGCCAAAGGGGATGTTTAAATCATTTTGTATTTCTCACTAAGGAGGTAAATATAACAGTTTCCCCCCACAGAAATCTTCATGGATCTGGAAGCCCACAGATGGTAACTAGGACTTAACGCAAACAAAACAGCCCTTAAAGAATTCTGAAAGTCAGTGCAAAAGAAAAGATATTTCATATATATTTCATAACATAGCCATCAAACCAACAGTTTACAAAATATAAAAGCTGTACCCTCAATAATATGGTCTCAGCTGTGTTTTAAATAAACATTAAAAATATATGTAGAAAAGAAAGCCTGCAAGAAGTTAGAGTCAAAAAATTCTTAAAAATTAGTAGGTGCTGATTATGAAAGAATAGAAAATATACAAAAGAGAAATGAGAATTGCATCTTCTGAGGCAATGACTAAGCCATTAAAATCATAGAATAGGTGAAGTGTGATGATTAATACTGAGTGTCAACTTGATCGGATTGAAGGATGCAAAGTATCTCTCCTGGGTGTGTCTCAGGGTATTGCCAAAGGAGATTAACATTTGAGTCAGTGGACCAGGAGAGGCAGACCCACCCTCAATCTGGGTGGGCACCTTCTAATCAGCTTCCAGTGTGACTAGAATAAGGCAGGAGAATCACTTGAATCGGGGAGGTGGAGGCTGCAGTGAGCTGAGATCACGCCACTGCACTTCAGCCTGGGTGACAGAGCGAGACTCTGTCTCACACACACAAAAAAACACATTGTCGGGAGGCCGAGGCGGGCGGATCACGAGGTCAGGAGATCGAGACCATCCCGGCTAAAACGGTGAAACCCCGTCTCTACTAAAAATACAAAAAATTAGCCGGGCGTAGTGGCGGGCTCCTGTAGTCCCAGCTACTCGGGAGGCTGAGGCAGGAGAATGGCGTGAACCCGGGAGGCGGAGCTTGCAGTGAGCCGAGATCCCGCCACTGCACTCCAGCCTGGGCGACAGAGCGAGACTCCGTCTCAAAAAAAAAAAACAAAACAAAACACCCATTGTCTTAGTTTTTTTGTACATTTTCCCCAAAAGAGATTTATGTCAGCAATTCATAATAACTCTCCATTTTGCCTTTACTGTAATTCCAATAATAATCGTTGCTATTAATTTTTTTAAAAGCAAGAAATTAGCTTCACCTTTTCTTTAATGGAAAAAATGAGAAGGAACTTCAAGATTGAAAATGATCTCAATGGAATATATTAAATAGGATATAAGGAGGCTGGACTTTAACAAACACAATTAAAAGAAACCTATTGACCAAAATGTATAATTTTGCTCTGTTGATTTCTTCCTTTCTTGACCCCCTGTTTAGGAAAAAAAAAAAGGAAAAATGAGTAGCAGAAATCAAAGTTTAAAAGGAGGACTAACTTTAAGCAAAGTGAAGCAGTTTTGTTATGATGGTGAGATGAACCTCAACAGAGGGAAAGCAGAAAAAAAAAAATGGTGGAAAAATGAGAAGGCAATGCAGCAGGCCCAAAACAACAGGTGAGAGAGTTCACTGTATATTTTAACTTCATATTTATAATAATTACAGACCAAATACACACACATATGTACATTGTTATGTATGTGGTAAAATTTTGGAGCTGAATTTGCTAAGTTATATTTAAGCCCCTTCATTTGCTGGATGAGAACACTGAGCCTGGAGATAATTTTAAGCATCTTCCCTAAATTGCACTGCTAATGCCTAGCAATAAGAGGAAAGACCCCATACTCGGACTAGTGCTGTTTCTATATATCCAACATCTGGCTCATTTCTACTACTAGAAAATGCTCTGCCAGCCTGGAAAACATGGTAAACCCCCATCTCTACAAAAAAATACAAAAAATTAGCCAGGTGTGGTGGCATGCACCTGTAGTCTCAGCTACTCCAGAGGCTGAGGTGGGAGGATCACCTGGGCGCAGGAGGTTAAGGCTGCAGTGAGCTGTGATTGTGCCACTGCACTCTAGCCTGGGCCACAGAGACCCCGCCTCAAAGAAAAAGAAAAAGAAAGAAAATGCTCTAGCTGTGCCTCTGATCCTGGCAAGGGGACTGTGGACACCCAAGTCTCGGGACCTGATCTCCCAAGGTGAGGCTCTCGGGCTGCCTCAAGCCCTGTTTCACGACCGACTGTTCTTATCCACATTGGTTAGGTTTCTGTCCGTTTCTTTTTCTGCACCAGTAGCTAGCACAGAGCCCAGCATAGTAGGATTTTGATAAATATTTGCTTAAAAGGTTAAAAAAAAGGAAGACAGATGTGTCATATATATTAATGTTTGGCTGGATATTTGATACCAAGGGTAGGTGAAGAAATAAAGTTATGGCCAAGGCTGGGTTGTTTAAGTTGCAGCCCAGAAATGTCACCTTCTGCCCTTCTGGACTTCCTGTTTCTCCAGCTCTGAGCCTGTCCAGATGCATTTAGAGGGGAAGACTGAAACTCAGTGATAACAGAAAAAGAATATTAGGATGCTGCAGCTGTAGCCCAATAAGCAAAAGCAAACTCCAAACTTGAAAACTGCTTAAGAAGCTATGAGGACTTCGGACACTGGGCAGTGGGGAAAAGGTTAGGGAGGGGGATAAAAGACAACATAGGCCGGGCGCGGTGGCTCACACCTGTAATCTCAACATTTTAGGAGGCCGAGGCGGGTGGATCACGAGGTCAAGAGATCGAGACCATCCTGGCCAACACGGTGAAATCCTGTCTCTAATAAAAATACAAAAAAAAAAGCCAGGAGTGGTGGCGGGCACCTGTAGTCCTAGCTACTTGGGAGGCTGAGGCAGGAGAATCACTTGAACCCAGGAGGCAGAGGTTGCAGTGAGCTGAGATTGCGCCACTGCACTCCAGCCTGGTTTCAGAGCGAGACTCTGTCTCAAAACAAAAACAAAAACAAAAAAACGACATATTGGGTACAGTGTACACTGCTCAGGTGACAGCTCCTGTGAAATCTCAGAAATCACCACCGAAAAACTTATTCAGGTCACCAAAAACCACCTGTACCCCCAAAACTATTGAAATTAAAAAAAAAATTAAAAAGAAAACTGCTTAAGAAGTTTGCTAAACATAATGAGAATATATGGAAATCATTGATGCAAAAGAGAGGAAAAGGGGTGTTCTGCTATTTCCTCCAGTTGGTTGTGTGTCAAACAGATGGAAATAAGGCTAAGCTCTTATCTACCCTAGGTGGCCTCGGATTTCTCTCTCCTCCGTAAGCATTCAATATCTAGAGTGGACAACCTAGAGATCCTGCCTGAGAAAAGAGACACCACAGAAAAAACCAACCCTGATAACACAAATAGATTCTCAGTTTTACTCTAAAAATAATTGCATTTTTTCCTGAATTGTCTTGACATTCTATTTATATTCATAGTTAACACATTATCATGTGCAATTAGTTGAAGAAGATGAGAAAGTGGTTTTCCCAAATCTAATATATAAAATTTAACATTTTCCATCAAGTTATGACAGAAAGAAAGATTACTTATAACAACCTGCATCATATCAAATTAATGGATTCTGCAACATCTCCAAGCAGGAGAAAAAAGTCTTTAGGGAAAAAGTGAAAGTATAAATGTATGATGGAATAGCCACAGTAATTACATTTCCAGGAGAAAACATTTTCCTTTCCTTAAGTCGACTGAAGCAAGATTATATGTTTCTAGGAGGAATGAATCTCTTTTTCATCTGCCATGGCTTGCCTAAACAGAGTAAATCTTTTTACCTACCTTAAGCTCCCACAGTCACATGGCCACATAATAAAGCCGGAATAAATGTCCCAGTGGATCAGAGCCAACTAGGAGATTAAGGTAGATCTTAACAAAGTCGCTGTTCCTGAATGCCTGGCTGGCTTTGCTGCACTGTTTTGCCTTAATCCTGATTTCCATGTCCCACTTCTTGTCTTCTTCCTGTCCATTATGCCCAGTCCTAGCCTTTATTTTCGAAGTTTGAGCTTATTCTTCATCACCTTGTTCGTGAGCCTAGGGCTACTGAGTCTAGTATCTCTGAAAGAGGCTGCAAGAGACTATTTGTCTGAAACATCCTTTTATTCCCTAACATCAATGTCCAATATCAGAGTTGGTAGCCCCAGCCATTCCTACCTCCCCTTAAGGAAATGTAGCAAGTTCTTTCTTCTATTGAGGCAGACTCATTCCCCAGGAACTTCTAACCACTCCAGGTACTTCACAATATTACTAAGGTGACTTGTAAATCAAGAAGAGGAAACAATTCAAGTTGAGGTTAGATCTCCATCATGGGTGCTTGAGAAGGCCTCTAACAGTGGAAAACATTTGAGAGTACACAACCTCTAGGGATGGCCTATTAAATATCTTGCACTATTGTTTAATAAATCTAATTGTTTTATCAATCTATGGTTTTATCTAAATCCTACGTCTATATTTACCTCATAGCCACACTTGGGAGGCTTAAGATCTACATTATTTTAGGGTCTGAGGCAGAAGGTGACTCTTTAAGATGAGAAAGAAATTACGAGTTTGGGGGACAAAAGGAATTCACTTCAGAGAATGCCATGGAAAAGAGCTGGATCAAAGACTATACCCCAAATTTTCAAGGCCATCCGATGACGGCCTCTCAAACCACACCCCACAGGCTAACTCATCTTCAAGCTGACAGTCCAGAGGAGTTGAGAGAAGCACAATTATGGGCCGACAAAGAGGAACAACATGTCTAGTTCAAGCAAGTGGCATCTCCTCTCTGGGTATCTTTTGTATATCAGGTTATAGATGAGGAAAACAAGTCCATCTCTAGCTCCCAGGCTTTGATCATAGGATGAGGAGGACTCTGCAAGCCCAAAGCACATTTGAGTGGTTTTACTAAAGGCACATCTCAGGGAAGCTTTCACGTCATTACTTAATGCAATGACTTAGCTGGGTCATTCATGGTGAAATCATTTTGCTGCATCATGCTTCTCTTGGTTAGCATTGCCCTTCTTCAGTTTGTAATTTCAATTGGCACATGTATGTTAGCTCATCCTTAGGAGCTGTTGAGTATTGACGCACCCATCTCCAGGCAGAAACAGGCCTGCCACCCTGCATAGCCTGCATGCATCCATTCTCTCCACGTGCCCTTTCTAAGTCTTGGTTCCCAATGTCCAGGACCTCACAGTGTAGGAGGGAAGACAAATGCTCAGACAAAGACAGGATGGCACCATCAGTAATAAATGCCATGGCTATGGCACATCAAAGAGTTAATGGCCTGGTCATTCTTATGTGAAAAAGAGAACTACTTGTCAGGATTTATAAATCACAAGATGGAATTATTTTTATTTTTAAATAGGAATCTTAGTTCCATATTACTCCCTAGCTTCATGTCATATGATAGTTCATGTCCCATCAAACAATACTACTCATTTTGCTTACTCTGCTTTCTATAAAACATCTAAAGTACACTCTCTCCTTCAACCAAGTGAGTCTTACCCTGTATATATATTCTAAAAATAACTTGTATAAATTTAGCCACCGTTACTTCAGCACTTATTATTTTCCTCTCTTTTCAGTTATATGTATCACTTAGTAAATGCAGCATAATATACACTAAACTAAAAAGAATTTTATTGTTTTCTGTTTTATAGGAAGAATATGATTTTTTTTTTCAGATTCAATCTGGCTGTGTTGCCCAGGCTGGAGTGCAGTGGCACGATCTCGGCTCACTGCAACCTCTGTCTCCTGGGTTCAAGTGAGTCTCCTGCTTCAGCCTACCGAGTAGCTGGGATTACAGGCGTGTGCCACCATGCCTGGCTAATTTTTTGTATTTTTAGTGGAGACAGGGTTTGACTATGTTGGCCATGCTGATCTTCAACTCCTGACCTCAAGTGATCTGCCTGCCTCAGCCTCCTAAAGTACTTGGATTACAGGCGTGAGCCACCACACCAGACCAGAAGAATATGACATTTGGATCAAAGTTCCTGGGATAACATCTTCCGCTTATTGATTAATAAGTTAATTTGCTTAATCTTTGGGGAGGCTTCAATATTTTTAAATGGTAATAATAATAGCTATTTTTAATGAGCACTTACTATATTTAACCAATGATCATAATTGAATCTTTTTTCACTTAGCATTCTAGATCTTGAAGATACAGTCTCTTTCTGTAATGAACTCAAATAAATGACGATGAAAATGTAGTGTGAAAGATTTCCAGTTTCACCTCCAGCATGTGAAGAGCTTGGAAGTCATCGCTCTTTTTCTTACAGCAGGAAAAATCTGGACAAAGTGAAAATCAATGACTCTTACTGAACTTATTAGAGAAGTGAGATAGTAGGGCAACCTCTCCCCAGATTCTGGAGAAACATATAGGGAGTCACAGCTGAAATCTGTTACCTGGAGCAGAAGTTAAAACTGGCAAACACACTTAAATTCAACACTTAAACATTTTGATGAATCCATTAATCAAGCTGGATGCTGAGTATGACGAGCATAAGAATAATAAACGTCTTGAAACCACACTATTGGAGGTGGAATGCAGCCACACTTCCTTGAGCTTTACTTCTGAGAACTCCACCAAGTTCACATGATGAAGATCTGGGAAAAATGCACATATGACTCTGGCAGAGAGATAAACTATATAATATGCCCAGAGTAGTTTCCACAACACAAGCCTGCTTTCTAGAGGAAAATATTTTGCCAGAAATTTATCCAGCAGGTAGAAGGGATCTCTTTCCACTCCAACACCCTCTAGTTTCCTTTCTCACCTACTAGGGAAAAAGTACATGTAAGTGGAATACCAGAGGAAGAAGAGATATCTGAGCAGAAGAAATAGTTGAAGTAATAATGTCACAGAACTTTCCAAAATTAATGGAAGACATCAAATCACAGTTCCTGAAGCTCAAAGATCACAAACCAGAATAAATGCAACAAACAAATTAAACTAAACTAAAACAAAATGAAACTAGGTATATAATAATCAAAAATTTTAAATCAAGGACAGAAAATCTTCTGAAAAGCCAGAGAGGGATAAAAGATGTTACCTGTATAGGAACAAGGATAAGAATTACAGCAAACTTCTCATTAGAAACCATGCAAGAAAGAAGAGAGTGAGTGAAATTCTTAAAGGATTGACAGAAAACAACATAAAACCAGAATTAGAATTCTATATTTGGTGAAACTATCTTTCAAACATGAAGAAGAAATAAATGCTTTCTCAGATGAACAAAAACAGGAAAAAAAAAAAAAAAACACCAGCAGACCTGCCTTGAAAGAAATGATAAAAGTTTTTCAGGCAGAAGGAAAGTGATATAAGTCGAAGAAACATGGATCTACATAAAGAAAAAAGAGCAACACAGAGGAAATAAAGGTAATAAAGTAATTAATTCATCTTAATTTATATAAAAGATAATAGTTTGTCCAAAGCATGAGTAATAATGATGTATTGAGTGATTAAGCACATGGATTAATAAAATGAATAAGAGCAATATCTCAAGGAATAAGAAATTGGAAATACTCTCTTGTAAGGCACCTGCACTACGTGAGGAATAGTATAATGTTATTGGAAGGAGGTGGAAGAAGGATAAATATTAGTTAAAAATTATATTACAACCTCTAGGGCAACCACAAAAATTTGTAAAAAGACATATAATTGATATGCTAAGAAAGGAAGTAAAATGGACTTATATGAAATATTTAATTAAAAATCAGAAGGCAGATAAATGAGGAAATAAAACACAAAACAAAGGCATCAAATATAAAGTTTAAAAAGTGGCACATATTAATCCAAGTATGTCAATAATTAATTTAACATAAATAGTTTAAATATACCAATCAACAGATTTTCAGCCACTTAAAAAACAAACAGAACAAACTAAATGTTATCTATAAGAAACCCATTTCAAATATGGCAACTCAGGTTAAAAACAAAAGAATAGAATAATCTTTGCCATACTAATACTAACGAAAGAAAGCTACAGTAGGCATATTAATTACAGACAATGCAGACTTCAAAACAAGGACTATTACTAGGGATAAAAGAGGGCATTACTTAATGATAAAGAGGTAAATTATCCAAGAGATATAACAATCCTTAAGATGTATGCATCTAATAAAAAAGCATCAAAACACGTGACTCAAAAAAAACTGCCACTGCTTAACGGAGAGATAGACAAATCTACCATTATAATTGGAGACTGTATAAAGACATAATTCTCATAATGCTATAAATACATAATTGACTCACAGTTCCACAGGCTGTACAGGAAGCATGGTTGGGGAGGCCTTAGAAAACTTACAATCATGGCAGAAGACAAAGGGGAAGTCAGCATGTCCTATATGGCTGCAGCGGGAAGAAGAGAGGGTGAAAGGGGAAGTGCTACATACTTGCAATCAACTAGATCTCATGAGATCTCTACTATGAGAATAGCAAGGGGAAAGTTTGCCCCCATGATTCCATCGCCTCCCACCAGGCCCCTCCTTCAACACGTGGGGATTACGATTTGAGATGAGATTTGGGTGGGGACACAGAGCCAAACCTTATTAGAGACTTCTGTAAACATCTGTCAGTAATTGATAGACCAAGCAGACAGAAAATCAATAAGGATATAGATGACCTGAATACCACTATTAATCAGCCTCATCTAATTTATAGGATATGCCATCCAAAACAGCAGGTTTATCTCATGCTTGGGTGGAACATTCACCAAGATAGACCATATGCTGAGCCATAAAAAACACTTTAACAAGTTTAAAAGAATAGAAATCATACAAAGTATAGGCATACATTGGAGATACTGTGAGTCTGGTTTCAGACCATCACAATAAAGTGAATACTGCAATAATACGAGTCACACAAATTTCTTGGTTTCTAGTGCATATAAAAATTGTATTTATACCATACTGTAATATATTAAGTGTGTAATATCATTAGGTCTGGAAAAAAAAGTATATACATTAATTTAAAAATATTTTCTTGCTAAAAAATGCTAATGATCATCTGAACTTTCAGAAAGTCAGAATCTTTTAGCTGGTGGAGGGTTTTGCCTTGATGTTGATGGCTGCTGACTAATCAGGGTGGTAGTTGCTGAAGTGGCTGTGGCAATTTCTTAAAATAAGACAATAATAAAGTTTGCTTTGTCAATTGACCCTGCTTTTCACAAATGATTTCTCTGTAGCATGCAATGCTATTTGATAGCATTTTACACACAGTAGAACTTCTTCCAAAATTAGAGTCAATCTTCGCAAACCCTGCTGCTGCTTTATCAACCAAGTTTATGTTGTCATTTCAACAATGTTCACAACATTTTCACCAGGAGTAGTTTCCATCTCAAGAAACCACTTTCTTTTCTCATGTCTAAGAAGCAGCTCCTCATATGTTCAAGTTTTGTTATGAGATCACAGCAATTCAGTCACATCTTCAGACTCCACTTATAATTCTAGTTCTTTTGCTATTTCTACCACATTTGAAGCAATTTCCTCCACTGAAGTCTTTGGCCACTCAAAGTCATTCACAAGGGTTGGAATCAACTTCTTCCAAACTCCTGTTAATACTGAAACATCGACTTCCTCTTATGAATTATGGATGTTCTTGATGACATCCCAAATGATGAATCCTTTCCAGAAAGTTTTCACTTTACTTTGCCAAGATCCACCAGGAAATCACTATCTATGGCAGCTATAGCCTTATGCAATGTATTTCCTAAATAATAAGACTTGAAAGTTGAAATTAGTCCTTGGTCCATGGGTGGTAGAATGGATGTTGTGACAGCAGGCATAAAAACAACATTCATCTCCTTGTACATCTCCAGCAAAGCTATTGGGTGACCAGGTGCATTGTCAATGAGCAATAATATTTTGGAAGGAATCTTTTTCTGAACAGCAGGTCTCAATAGTAAGCTTAAAATATTCAGCAAACCATGCTGTAAACAGATGTGCAGTCATCCAGGCTTTGTTGTTCTATGTAGACAACACAGGAAGAGTACATTTAGTGTAATTGTTAAGGACTCTAGGATTTATGAGATGGTAAATGAGCATTGCTTTCAACTTAAAGTAACCAGCTGTATCCGCCCCTAAAAAAAAGTCAGCTTGTCTTTTGAGGCTTAGAAGCCAGGCATGGACTCCTCTCTAGCTGTCAAAGTCCTAGATGGCATCTTCCAAAATAAGGCTGTTTCATTAACATTGAAAAATCTGTTGTTTGGTGCAGCCACCTTCATCAATTATGTTAGTTAGATCTTCTGGACAACTTGTGCAGCTTCTACATCAGCACTTACTGCTTCACCTTCCACTTTTATGTTATGGAGACAGCATCTTTCCTCCTGAACCAACCTCTACTTGCTTCCAACTTTTCTTTTGCAGTTTCCTCACCTCTGTCAGTCTTCATAGAAATAAAGAGAGTTAGGGCCTCGCTCCGGATTGGGCTTTGTCTTAAGGGAATGCTGTGGCTGGTTTGATCTTCTATCCAAACCACTCAAACTTTCTCCACATCAGCAATAAGGCTGTGTCACTTTTTTTTATCATTCATGCATTGACTGGTGTAGCACTTTCAATTTCCTTCAAGAACTTTTTTTTCACTTACAACTTGTCTAACTGTTTGGCACAGTGGCCTAGCTTCTGGCCCATCTCAGCTTTCAACAAGCCTTCTTCATTAAACTTAATCATTTCTAGCTTTTTATTTAAAGTGAGAGATGTGTGACTCTACTTTCACTTGAACAGTTAGAGGTCATCGTAGGGTTATTAATTGGCCTAATTTTAATATTGTTATGTCTCAGAGAATAGCAAGGCCCAAAGAGATAGAGAGAGAGAGGGACAGAAAAATGGTTGGTCAGTAGAGCAGTCAGAATACACACCACACTTATCAATTAAGTTTGCCATCTTATATGGTCAGAGCTCATGACACCCAAAACAACTACAATAGTAACATCAAAGATCAATGATCACAGATCACTATAACAGATATAATAATAATGAAAAAGTTTGAAATAGTGTAAGAATTACTAAATATTACACTGAGACACAACACAAGCACCCACTATTGAAAGAATGGTGCCAACGGTCTCACTCAATGCAGGATTGCCACAAACCTTCAATTTGTAAAGAACTCAGTATCTGCAAAGTGCCATCCAGCAAGGTATACCTGTATGTTCTCAGAGCACAATGAAATTAAACTAAATATCCGTAACAGATACCAGGAAATCCCAAAATATTTGGAAATTATACAGTATGCTTCTAAATAATCCATGAGTAAAAGATGTCTCAAGAGAAATCAAAATTTATTTGGAACTAAATAAAAATTAAATACAAATTACTAAACTTTGTGGGAAGTAGTGAAAGCATGTGCTTGGAAGGAAACTTCTAGCATTAAATTCATATATTATTAAAGAAGAAATATCTCAAACCAATAATCTAAGCTTTCACCTTAAGAAACTGAAATCAAACATAAGCCTAAATCAAGTAGAAATAAAAGAAATAATAAAAATTAGATCAAGGAATTTCTGCTTCTGAAGAAGATAAAGTTAGTGTACTTTCCCCTATTTTTCCACTAAGTACATCTAAAAACCCAAGAAGACTCTGAAAGGTAGAGGGGAGAAGGCAGCCTGACTAAGGCATGGGCTCTGCAGAATAACGTAGTGCTGAGTTCCCTGGATTTTCTTTGTGTTTCATAAATTCCAGACTAGAAGCTAAAGAAACTGACACCCCAGAAATGCCAAAGGACAAAGGAAAAATCTTTTTGGAAAAACAGAAAATCTTCAGGCAATGACTGCTCTACTCTAGCCAACACACAGCAAATCTGTGGCCTCACCTCTACTCAATATCAGCAAAGGTTGGATGAGGAAGCCTAAATTTCCATCCTTGCAAAGATGTTACAAGACACGACAACATTCCCGCTGGGGTAATGTCAGAGAAGATCAAATAGGTAGCCAGTACTTTCATCCCACCATCTGGTAGGGAGTGTCCACCCACTACCACTCTGTCAGTGGAGACCATATGAAGAACCTGGACTTACACTCATACCTGGCAGTAAACAGGAGTCCCTCTTCCTCACTACTGGGTTGGTGTCAAGTAGACCTAGTGGAAAGTCAGGACTTTCACCATCACCCAGTAGTAACCAGGTGTCCCCACAGCAGTGTCATGGAAGACGGCGCAGGGAACCAGAACTCCCAAACCCACAAGGCAGGAATGAGGGGCTCACCCTCGGTCACCAGTGGAGGCAGAGTTGGAAACCCTAAACTTCACCCCTACTTGGCAGCAAGGAGGTGGTGCCCCTGCCCCACCCTCTGTCAGAGAAATGTCAAAGAAAGCTAGGTAAAACAGAAGGCTTAAAGAAGATCCATAGTCTCAGAATGTAATACAAAAATGTTCAAGTTTCAAATGAAAATTACTCATTACACTGAGAATCAGGGTCATCTTAAACTGAATGCAAAAATAAAATCAATAGATGCCAACACCAGATAACAGAGATGTTAGAATTAGTGTGATTCTAAAGCAGTGTAATAAAAATGTTTCAAAGGGCGATTACAAATATGCTTAAAAAAAATAAAAACAAACTTAAAACTAGAAAGCCTAAACAAAAATATGATGTCTCAGTGAAGAAATAGATGGTATAAATTTAAAAAATGGTAATTTTAGAATTGAATATTATAGTAATGGAATACGAAGCTCAATAAATGATGCATATGGACCAAACAACAGAGTTGCAAAATATGAGAAGCAAAAATTGATACAATCAGAAGGAGAAATAAACAAATCCACAATTATAGTTGGAGGCTTCGACACCTCTTTCTTAACAATTGACAGAACTAGACAGAAAATCAACAAGGATATAGAAGAACTCAACAACACTATCAACCAACAGGATTCAATCAACATTTATAAGACACTCTAACTAACAACAGCAGAATACATCTTCTTTCAAGTTCTCACAAAAAAATATGAAAATAGACTACATCCCTGGGCATGAGATAAACCTTAATAAAATTTTAAAAAATTGACATCATAGAGTATGTTCCTGATTACAATTAAACCAGGACAAAAAAAGAAAGATAATAGGAAAATCTCCAAATATTTAAAACTAAAGAACACACTTCTAAATAATCCATGAGTAAAATAATAGGCCTCAAGAAATATTATAAAAAAGGCATTAACTGAAGAAAAACAATAATGGAACAAATCAAAAATTTTGGAACACAACCGAAGCCATGCTGAAAGGAAAATTTGTGGCACCAAAATCCCTACGCTGGAAATAAGGAAAAGTCTTAAATCAGTCACATAACTTTCTGCCCACAGAATCTATAAAAAAGAAGAACAAAATATACTCAAAGCTAGCAAAGGAAGGACATAATAATTATCAGAGCAGTAATCAATGCAATTGAAAACAGGAAAGCAAAAGAAAGAATAAATTAAACAAAAAGGTGGCAAGGATGTAGAGCAACAGTAATTCTCATCCATTTCTGGTGGAAATGCAAAATGGTACAGCCATGTTGGAAGACTGACAGTTTCTTACAAAGCTAAACACAGTCTTGCCATGTATGATCCAGCAATGACTCTCCTAGGTATTTACCCAACCAATTTGAAAATACGTGTCCACACCAAAAAAACCTGAACATGCATGTACATATTACAGCACATGTTCATTCATAATCACCAAAACCTAGAAGTAGCCAAGATGTCCTTCAATAGGTAAATCAATAAACTGTGCCATATCCACACTATGACTGTTATTCACTGCTAAAAAAAAATGAGGTATCAATCTAGGAAAAGACGTGAATAAATTTCAAATGCATATTGTCCAGGTCTACATATTATAGGATTCCATTTATACACCATCTGGAAAACCACTGGCAATGCAGATCAATGACTCTAGAGGATTTGAGGTGGCCCTCAAAAAGATGAAGCATAGGGTTTTTTTTTAGGATGATGAAACTATTTTCTATGATACTGTAATGGTGGCTACATGATAATATGCATTTATCAAAACCCATAGACAGCACGAAAAGTGAACCTTAATGTATTTACATTTTAAAAGAATCATTTAGGAAGTTATATTTCCCAGGATGGAATGCATATTGTGACCAAAGAATTGACCTGTATTATTCCCCCATACCTGGCATTACAAAAGTATGAATATACTTTACTGAAGAGGTTAGGAGAAATGTGTAGACAAGTAACTTTGGAAATGAGTGGAGTCTGTAAGACTAAAGGCAAAAGGAACTACACATAAGCACTATTCCCTAGTTGATACAGTTGTTTCATATGGGGGAAGGGGCTCAAGGTTCTGAAACTGCTACACATTTATACTCTAATCGAACTATTAAGTAAATGAGAGTCAGATTTCTTACTATTGGAGTGGGAGGTTACAGTTAAGCAAAGGGGGAGGCTAAAATGATCTATGTGGTAGTGGATTAAAGTTGGTGACCTCAGGATGAGCTTATGTTTAGCTTTACCTAGATACAGATGGTAACATATAGAATATATATGTTAGCATTAACACTATATTTCATGTTGTCATGTGAGAATGTCTGAAAGAAATGACACTCCAGTAGCAGTGAACACATATAGCATACAGATCTTGATTTCTAACATCAACCTTCAACAAAAGAAACCAGAGTTCCTTGAAGAAATGACTGAATCTAGGATTGAAGGAGAAGATATATGTAAGATGATCCTGGAGCCTCTTTTAGTGCCAAAAAGTAAGAAAGAGCCCCCACCAAAACCTACATGAATAGGGGCACGTTAAAAGGGCACAGAAGCCAACTGAAAGAGCTTCCACTGGCCAAAGCTGGAGCGATTTGAACAAGATAAAGTTGTATTATATTATCACCCAAAGTATAAAGTAATCATAAATAAAATTAATGCTGGTATAAATAAATGATCCAATACATAGATAGTGAAGGAAAAGAGGCATCTCTCATGTGGAAGAATTCCAAATAATTTACGTAGTTACTTACGTAGTTACTCAAGGAAGAGAGTGTGTAACTCTCTACTTCGTAAGAGTGGACTACAACTAAGGACTTCCTTCCAAAAACTACAGCAGGTAAAGGGGAAAAAGAGCCAGTCTACGATGGAAAAACCTGACCAACACTACCTCGGCTAAATCATCAAGGCGAACATTAACAGTCATGAATCATAATTAACAATATGTACCCTTCACAATATGAGGAAAACAGCACTTTACCTCTGTGGTCTTCCTCCAAAAAACCCACTACCCCAGTCTAATTATGAGAAAAATATCAGGCAAATTTTAATTAAGGGACATTCTACAAAATATCTGATCAATACTCCTCAACACTGTCAAGGTCATCAAGAACAAGGGGTCTGAGACAGTGTCGCAGCTGACAGAAGCCTAAGGAAATGGGGCCACTCCATGTAATGTGGCATCCTTCATGTGATCCTAGAGCAAAAAAGGGGGGCATTAGGTAAATCTAAGGAAATGTGAATAAAGTATGGGCTTCAGCTAGTCATATCCTGTCAATATCGGTTCATCAATTATGACAAATACTAACATACAATTATGTACAATATACAATACAATTATGACCATACTAATATAAAATAGTAATCACCCAAACTGGGTATCTGTTACATGAGAATTCTATATTATCTTCACAAACGTTCTGTAAACCTAAAACTATTGTAAAATTTCAAAATGCATATAAATATAAAATGAAAAAATTATAAATATATGTAATGAAAAAAAGGTACAGGAAACCAGGGTGTGTCTAACCAGAATTTAAGCTTAGGGTTTCATAAACTTACACATTTAACTATTATTTTTCCAAAATTAACACATCCTGTTTTGAATAAAGGAATTGAAAAGGACACTTGCGTAGTTGCAAAATCAGAGTCCTAAATTGCTTGCAAATAAATTCTGCATTGGTATCCTTAAGTCCACATAGAACTGAGAGCTGGTGAGCAAAATGCAGGCATCTACTGCTTAACAGAAGAATCCCTTGAAAATCAGACATCTTCATAAAAACCAAGATCCTATTTTCTACTGTATTTAAGGCAAATCATAGAAACAAAAATACCTCCCCCTAATTTTCTTGAAGATCACTAAAACACTGCAAAACACCCACATGTAAATAACAAACTGTCAAGTTAAAACTGTAACCACCAACACGACTGTTACCCGTTGTTTTGGATGCCGCAAAGGGTCTTAGATAAAAGCAAGAACATTTGAGAAGCACAATGCCTTTAACACTCAGCACTTTTTAACGACATCCACAGTGATTTGCACATTCTACCAATTACATTTGGGACGCAATTGAGGCTTTTGCTGCACATTTTGTTAAAATATATATTGAGTTTCAGGAACATAAATAGATAGTTTTTCCTATATAAATATTGGCCAAAAAAAAGACCTTCCATAATGAGAGATGTGTGTTCTCTGAGGCTTGTGCATTAAAAACCAAAGGTTTTTAACTTGGGTGTCCAAAGTACACCCAAGCATACATGCACATTCGTCTGATTTATGACAAAGATGAGACTTCAGCGCAGTGAGGGAAAACATGATGTTTTCAATAAGCAGTGCTAAGCCAATTTTAAATCCATATGAAAGAAATATACTAACCCCCAGCACACAATACAAAAAAATCAATAGCAGATGGTTTGCATGTCTAAATGCAAATGATGTAACAAGCTTTTAGAGAAAACTATAGAGAACATCTTCATGACCTTGGAACAAGCAAGATTTCTTAAAAAGAGCAAACAAAAAGCTAAGGGTAAAAGAAAAAAAGTTGTTAAAAACTCATATTAAAATTAACAACTTCTGTTCATCAAAAGACCTCAGCAAGAGTAAAATTCAATCCAGTGCCGGTACAGTGGCTTATGCCTGTAATCCCAGCTGTTTGGGAGGTCGAGGTGGGCAGATCACGAGGTCAGCAGTTCGAAACCAGCCTGGCCAACATGGTGAAACTCCACCTCTACCAAAAATACAAAAATTAGCTGGGCATGGTGGCAGGCGCTTGTAATCTCAGCTACTCAGGGGTCTGAGGCAGGAGAATCATTTGAACCCAGGAGGTCGGAGGTTGTAGTGAGTCGAGATCACGCCATTGCACTCCAGCCTGGGCAACAGGGCAAGACTCTGTCTCAAAAAAAAAAAAAAAAAATGCAACTCAAAGGGTGGAAGAAGATAATCGTAAGTATATCTAACAAAGAATTCATATCTAGAATATATAAAGGACACTTAGAAATCATTAAGAAAAAGATAAAGCATGTGATAAAAATTGACAAATGACTTGAGCAGATGCTGCACAAAAGAAGGGCTTCAAATACCAATCAACAGAAAAATGTGCCAACTTCACTAGCCCTCAAAGTTCAATACCACGCCTTTCCTGCTAGAAACAACTAAAAATACCAAGTGTTAAGGATGTCGAGAAAACAAACATCTTATATATTGCTGGTTAGAGTGTAAATTGCTACAAACACTTTGGAAAACCATTTGACTGACCTATTAAAACTAAATCTATGGGCCTGGTACAGTGGCTCACACCTATAATTCCAGCACCTTGGAAGGCCAAGGCAGGAGGATCACCGGCGCCCAGGAGTTAAAGGCCAGCCTGGGTGACATAGTGACACAGGTGCATGCCACCATGCCTAGCTAATTTTTTTATTTTTATTTTTTGTCTCTACAAAAAATGACTTCTACAAACCATTCTCCACTAGAAAGAACAGGGTACCCTGGAGAAGTGGCCAAATCCAGGACTGCAACAGGAAAGCAAAAGATGAGACTGGAACATTGTACTGTGCTAGCATATGAGAAAGTCCCATTACCATAGAATGGTGGGGACATGCCAGATGGACACAGAAGCCAACCCGGAGGCCGGGCTTGTTGGCTTACGCCTGTAATCCCAGCACTGTGGGAGGCCGAGGCGGGTGGATTACAAGGTCAGGAGATCGAGACCATCCTGGCTAACACGGTGAAACCCCATCTCTACTAAAAATACAAAAAATTAGCCGGGCGTGGTGGCGGGCGCCTGTAGTCCCAGCTACTCGGAGGCTGAGGCAGGAGAATGGCGTGAACCCAGGAGGTGGAGTTTGCAGTGAGCTGAGATCACGCTACTGCACTCCAGCCTGGGGGACAGAGAGAGACTCCGTCTCAAAAAAAAAAAAAAAAAAGAATCCAACCAGGGGAACCCTGACTGGCTGGACCTGGGACAACACTGGAACAATATGATCAAGAAAAAAAGTAAAAATAGTAACAGATCATAACCCTATTTTACACAATTAGGATTGAGTCCCTATGGATGCAAGTGAATAAATGTAGTGAAAAGAAAGCTTTTCCTTCTAGTAGAATGCCACCTAATAAATGTAAATCCTAGTCAAATGCGATCATACAGTGTTTGTCTTTCTGCAGTGATACACAATTTTGACTTGCACCATTAATCATGTTGCTAACTTGATCATTTAGTTATGGTGGTGTCTGTATAGTTCTCTGCTGTAAAGTTTACTGTATGTCCCTTTGTCCTTAATAGTATTTTCTGAGGAGGTACTCCAACACTGCAAATATTTTATTCCTCATCAAACATTCACTACTAGCATTATAGCATTCATCGACATTTCTTGCTGAACTATTACTACCATTTTCTAATTATAATGATTTTCTAATTTCTCATTTTATTTACATTTATTAGATGGCATTCTACTCTAAGGAAAATCTTTCTTTTCCCCACATTTATTTATTCATTTATTCAACTGCATCCATAGGGACTCATTCCTATTTGTGTAAAATAGGGTTCTGATCTGTTACTATCTTTACCTTCTTTTTTTTTATCATATTGTCCCAGGTCCGGCCAGTCAGGGTTCCCCCAGATTGGCTTCTGTGTCCATCTGGCATGTCCCCACCATTCTGTGATGATGGCACTTTCTCACATGCTAGCACAATAGAATGTTCCAGTCTCATCTTTGGCTTCCCTGTTCCAGTCCTGGATTTGGCCACTTCCCCAAGGAGCTCTAGATCTTTCTAGTGGAGAATGGTTTAGAGAAGCCAAGACCTGGGAGCCCCGTGTGCTCGTTGCTAGTTAGGTTTTCTGCTCTCACGCCCTCTCAGGCTCACACCAATACCTTCAATTCCAGTCCAGCACCACGGGGTCTGCTCGAGCATTCTCTCTTTCCACGTGTGCAGCTGCCTTCTCTGGTAGTGAGACTCCTGGCTCCTCTTGTCCTCCATATATTTACTTATCAAATCCACATCTGTCGGTAGCAACCTGCCACCACGTGTCTAAGCGTGGGAGCTTCTCAGCTCCCTGGAGCTCCAATACCCGACACTGAGATGGGGAACACGGTGAGGGGAAAAAGAGCAGAAGAGAAAGGAGACAGGACTACTAGACTTTGAAATCACAAAGGAAACCTCCCACAATCGCCCCAAAAGAGAAAGTGGGAATGAAGAAAGGACCTGAGTTGGGAGAAATGAGGCTCCAGAGCTCCCTGAACGATGTGCCCTACTCAGGACCGGGTCTTCACAGGCTTTGCCCAGTCAGGGTCAGTCTGCGGCTCAGCTTTGTGTTCTGTGTTTATCCACAGAAGCAAATATTGCTGTCTGTTCATCCTCATCTAACACTGTGCCCAATTGTTCTAAAAATCCAGGGAATTTGCTTGTGTGTCATTGAGGCCCAGATCCACTAACCCACCCCAATGGCTATCTGGTTGCCCTTAGCATATAAATCTCTGCTTTTAAAAAATGGCAGAAGCTCATTCTGCTTATAAATTTACTTTTGTCTTCTAAAGCAAAGTGCACTTTTGAGAGCCCCAAGATTCTTCCTTTTCTGAGCACATAACCTGACAGGTCTTGCCAAATGGAGGATTTAGGAAGTGCCCTACATTAGAAAATGTAGGACTAACCGGGATCAATAGACTTCTGTTTCGATACACCTTCTCAGTGTGGGCCAAAAGGAAAAATGCTGTGGCGTGCCAATCAAAAATGTTTCTCCTCTTGGGTGGAGAACTAAAAAATACAAAAGAAATAATAGAGACCCTTTAGAAAATAAATATTGTGATGTGAACTTCAGAAGAAATAAGAGAACAGAATCTCAGATACTTCTACAAAAGGCGTCCAGGATTTGCAGAAGAGCAAAGAATAGATGTTCTGCTTTCTGTGCAAATATCTGGGCTCCAAAATAGGGTAAGTCAAAAATTTTTCCATTGACCTAGGTAAGGCTGATGGAGGTTACAGCAGCTCCTTCTTTAAAAACTATTCTATTAATGATAGCTCCCCATACTTTCAGAGACATTGAATCAAGGAAATTTCAGCAAACTACAATTCTTCTAATATTTTTAGTGAAGTGCAGCATACATAGAGAAAAACGTACATGCCTGATGGAGGTTTCGAGCTCAATAATTGCTTATAATTTACAAAACTAGTGTTAACCTGGAGGAAAAAAAATCTAATTTGCTCCCACAATCTTCACCTTGGCCATTCTGCTACCTCTTCTTGTCATAATTCACCATGCCATGTGTGACATATCCAGGAACCATTTTCAAGAAAACAGATGCTCAAAATGATACTTATTTTTAAAAATTAAAAAAAGGAAAAAAAAAAAGGAAAGTGACAAAGGACCGTAAATGTTAGGTGAACAAAGAACCTTGATTTCCTAGGAAAGGATCTTTACTATTAAGGAGGCTACCTTAGTAATATATTGAGAAGTTTTAGTTGCATTTACATCCTCTCTCCTCACAGTAACTGTCACTCTAAATATTTGCAAAATAGCAATTGCCAGAAATTTCTGGCTACCGTCCTGTTGACCTTAGCTACGTTTAAGGAAGGCAGGCACAGAAACCTTATTTAAGCAATCACCTCCCTACTTCACCTACTTCTAACAAGTGTTCAGGCTTCAGGAAGACTGGGTATGACTGAGGCTTGTCCAAGATACAGTTAGACGGCAGGTGCAAAGAAGACTGAGCATGTTGCCTATAACAGAACAACTCAGTCCTGCTGAAAGGATAACAGGTGAGTTTCTCAAGGCAAGTTTTGACCCTATCTATCCAAATATAGCTAAAGAGCCACAACGTGAACAAATAAATATCCTGAATGTGCGCCTGTTTGCAAACATTCCTTACAAAAAGAATTTGTGTAATAGAGACTCCAGGCTACAGCAAGGGGCTCCTCATACTTATAAATAATTGAGATGTTCAGGCCTTGGTCATGCAACAGCATCCTGGAGAGTGACTTGATAACAGGGGTTTATTATGAGTATTTTGTCTGTATAACATTTGCCATTTAAGTTTTGACTCAGCTAGCGAGATGTCACCAAAGCACAACCTCGAGATGCAATAATTCTGGTCTAACTAACACAAATCCTAAGATGTAGTCCCTTAATATTTTTACAGCACAGCACAAATATTTTTTGACGACAAGATGCCTACCTGTCGTGTAGAGTAGGGATGTCTTCTCTGGTAGCTAAGTGGGCAATCAGAGCAGTGTTGATTAAAGTCAATATTTGAGGTGCTTCCTGGGTGCTATAGATTGTTTCGTCTGACCCCTCCAAATTGCCTGTTGAAATTTGAGCCCCAATGTTGGGGCTGGGGCTTAGTGGGAGGTGTTTGGGTCCTGGGAGCAGATCCCTCATGAATAGATTACTGCCCTCCTTTGTTGGCGGCAGGGGTGGGGGGGTGGTGTGACTGAGTTCTCATTACAGCTACTTTGAGAACTGGCTGTTAAAAAGAGCCTGGTGGCCGGGTGCGGTGGCTCACGCCTGTAATCCCAGCACTTTGGGAGGCCGAGACAGGCAGATCACGAGGTCAGGAGATCAAGACCATTCTAGCTAACACAGTGAAACCCCATCTCTACTAAAAATACAAAAAAAATTAGCCGGGCGTGGTGGCTGGTGCCTGTAGTCCCAGCTACTTGGGAGGCTGAGGCAGGAGAATGGCGTGAACCCGGGAGGCAGAGCTTGCAGTGGGCCGAGATCGTGCCACTGCACTCCAGCCTGGGCAACTGAGCAAGACTCCATCTCAAAAAAAAAAAAAAAGAGCCTGGCACACCCCTCCCTCTCTCTCTTGCTTCCTCTCTTGCCATGTGACCTCTGCACACAGGGGTTTCCCTTTGCCTTCCTCCATGAGTGGAAGCAGGCTGAGGTCCTCACCAGAAGCAGTTGCTGGCACCATCCTTCTTGTGCAGTCTGCAGAACCGTGAGCCAAATGAGCCTCTTTTCTTTATAAATGACCCAGCCTCCAGTATTTCTTTTCTAGAAACACAAGGAGACTAAGACAGTGGATTTTCATGATCAGAATCCATTGTGAAGGTGCACAGAGCCAAGAGTAGCATTGGTAATAATCAGAGAACTGTATTGTTGAAGGTGCTTTGGTGTTGTATGTCTTGTATTTTTCATATTTCATATTTGTGCTCCTTCAGTACAGATCACAAGCCCGCCTCCTTCACCGGGATGCTAAATACATTGCAGTACCTTCCTCACTGGGCTATGTTCTCCCTCCCTCCTGGGCGTGATGGGCTGAATTCTGTCTCTCCTCCCCATCCCTAAATTCAAATATTGAAGCGCTATCCACTGGTACCTCAAAATATGACTGTATTTGGAGACAAGGCCTTTGAAAGGTGATGAAAGTAAAACGATGCTTCTGGTGTGGGCCCTAATGCAATCAGACTGGTGTCCTTATAAGAAGAGAAAACTTGGACAAAGAAACACCAGGAGAGCCCTTGCACAGAAGGAAAACCATGTGAGGAACAGCAAGAAGACGGCCATCTGCAAGTCAGGGAGAGAGACCTCAGAAGAAATAAAACCTGCCAATATCTGGCTAGTGGGCTTCCAGACTCCATAATTGTAAGAAAATTAATTTCTCTTGTTGAAGCCCCCCAGCCTGTGGTATTTGTTACAGTAGCCTGAGCAAACTCACACACTGGGGTTTCATTCTTGGAGAGAATAAGCAGAGACTTTCACCTTGACCTGCTCATGAAAATCACCCTGATGCTCTCCAGCACGCCTGAGCCTTTTCTCCTGAATTCATTTCAAGACAAAATTCCACTTTGCAGGTGCGCTGAAGCTCAACTCAAGGACCTTATTACTCAGGTTTTCAATTTACCAGCTTCCCTTGATGTGACCCTCTTCCCCAACCTCTCCCCATTTCCTTTTGCCATCCCTCTCCACTCTTCACCTTTCTTTCTCCTGTACCTCTCATTCCTATTTGTGGCTGAATTTTTTAGTTTGATTAGAAAGATACATTTTAAATGGTAACCAAATTGTCTAAAATAACTTTTTTTTACATTGTGCATCATTAGCTTTCCACAAATGGCATTTTCTCAAGGATTCATGAATATAGTTGGCTGATTTTGTTCATGGCTTTCAGTTACCCTCTCATGGCCAGATTCAGAAACATAAATGTCTCACACTCTCCTCTTCCAAAGTCCCAGAGATTGACTCTGTGTTGAAATGACAGCCCCTTTCTTCTCCAGGCTGAGAATGGCCTCTGCCTGTGCCAAGCCCTCTGATCTACCATGCACCTTGTGAGCCACCTACAGTTATCCAGCAGAGTCTTCCTTCCCACACGCAGCCCACTGCTACCTTCTCCTCAACATGCATGCCTCTGTCACCCAGGAATCACACATTTGACCTCTACATCAATCATGCAACATAAGCGTGTGCATACAGAATAGCCCTTTTCCTAGAATCTATACCAAAAACTTCTGTGATGTGCTCAAGTTTGCATAAAGGGTGGTTGAACCTGGAGTACATCCCAGATTAAACTTCAGAAATACCAATCTGTTCTCTGCGTGTGCCTCACGTTTTCATTAGCAGTGCCCATTGAGCCCTAAGGAAGTGTAGGATTTTTCTTAATGATTTAAGAAAAACACTTATCCTTCACTCCAAAATCAAATACAATGTCTTTCTTCACATCAGTTCCCTCCATTCTATCACAAAATAGCTGAGAAAGCTAAAAGCAGCCAAAGCACCTGGCAGTTGTTGATACTTGCCCATAACACAGGAATCTTAGCAGGTGCAGTGGGATAAAATACATCTTTCAGAATTATTATGTTTCTGGGCATCACTTTTTATATCAAAGGGGAAAAAAGAACTAACCTAGCTGAGATTTGCAAGGGAAAACAGCCTAGTTCTCTTTCCATAATGCTTTGAATAATTAAGACACATAAGATAAATACATTAACATTTCTTCAAGCCTCCAGGCAGCAATGAGTATGGAGAAATGATTACTTTTTGAGATCCTCAAAGAATTTTAAAATTTGAAAATTTTTCCTAAGAAGTAACTTTAGAACAGATTCATAGTTAAACCTGGATTTGTTATTGATCATTGACTAAGATCTGTCTTTCCAGATGGAGATACCGTATCTCATACAGAATCTGTGATCAGGGCATACCATCAAGGGGCGGTGGTGCTATGGGAAGGTAGGGGGGACGTGGACTCTGGAGTCAGATCTGCTTGTGTTCTCATCAGGCACAACCACTCACATACTCTGTGACCTCGAGCAAGTTAGAACCTCTTTCAGTTTCCCCCTCTGTGAAGTGGGCATAACAGTATCACTGACTTCATAGTGCTAATAATTGCTGTCATGGTGCCTGGCACAAATTTTAGTGCTGCATGTCTCTGCTTATTGAAATAAATATAAACATAACAGCTTCCCTGAGTCTGATGATTTTAAATACTTCATATGAATGGAATCATGAAGTTGCTGTTCTCTGTGCCTGGCTTATTTCACTTGCACCATGTCCTCAACATTCATCCATGTTGTGGCAAATAATAGAATTTCCTTCTCTTTCTAAGCCTGAAATAATATTGCATTGTAAGCGTATAACACATTTTCCAAGGTATCTAAGGTATCCAAAATAGGCATAAGCAGAATGGTGGTTGCCAGAGGCTGAGGGGAGGAGGAAGTGAGAAGTTGTCACTTGATGAGTATGACGCTTCAGTTATGCTGGATACATGAGTTCTTGAGATTTGCGGTATAACACAGTATAACAATATGGTATTGTGCACTTCAAAATATGTTAAGAGTTCTCATGCTAAGTTCCTTTACCATGAACAAACAAAACACCACAAAAGAACACAAGGCAATTTTTGAAAGTGATAAATACATTTAGTTCCTGATGGTATCATGGATGTGTGTGTGTGTGTGTGTGTGTGTGTGTGTGTGTATGTGTGTGTGTGGTATGTGTTGTATGTGCATGTGTGTGTACATATCCAAAATCATGAAAATGTATACTTTAAATATGTGTAAACTTTTATATCTATTATACCTCAATAAAACTTGAAAAACATACAGCAATGACACATATGAAAAGAAAGTAGGAGTGAGATTAAGGAGAGCCACTTTCTAGTCTCAGCTTTTTTGGGAGCAAATGGAGTAGCTTGCATAGGTTACAGTATTCTTTGTACCTCACTTTTCTCATCGAGCAAATGAGGAACTTGAACTAGAAAGTGTCGACAATTTCTTGCTGCTCATCAAACAAGGTGATGCCAGTGACTGTAATGGATGGTGTCACAAGAACCTTTAAATGGCATGTCTAAAAGATTGCAGGAGGTTAATCAGCCCACACACCTTCTGATGAGATGAAATTTGGACGGAGAGCTGAGGACTAATAAAACACAAGTGGCTATAGAGAAGAAAAGACATTAAACTGAGATGTAGTTACTTATTTTTCTTGGATTCTTGGTGAAATACCATAAAGAAAGAAAGAAATGGTTGTGGCAGAAGCAACTTCAGCTGCCTTATTGAGCACCAAATGTCTTTGCCATCAATCAAAGACAGGGCAGGCTCATCTAGAGCCTGATGGATTGAATCTTCCTGGTAGTCATTTCTGCCTTTGGAGAAATGAGAATATCCTTGTGTCTGCTTTTATCCCTAGCATTTGATTATAAGCCCATAGCTCATTTGAACATACTAGAAGTGTGCTTCTGGTGAGGCAGGTGTACAGGGAAGGGAAGTACTAGATTGACCCATGAGATGGTAAATGAACTCCAACTCAAAGGAAATATAGGGGTAAGGTGGAGATTAGTTTGCTTTAGACTTTCCTTTAGCACTGAGGTAGGAAGCACACTAGGCTTTAGGGACATCCAACCCTCTGCCCTCTCCTGTACTTACAGTACAATGGAAGATGGGTAACCATGGCCTGGGATAAGTGTTAGGACCAGAGGAAGAGACGCACTCAATTCTACATCACACTGAGATTTCAATCTATCATCTGTTCTCTCTCAGTGAGAAACTCTGGTGGTTAAAAAACAAGAACTAATGAAAACCCCTTCAAGAAAAAAGGTCATAAAAGGGAAGGTCATGCTCAACATGGAAAAGCAATCAGGGGACGATGCCCATTCTCTGGGCATGTATCTAAAGACACCATCATCTTTTTCCACTTTCTCATTTCTAGCAAAGCCTTTGCACCAGGAGAAGCATTTCTCCTGAAGTCACACAGTGACAAAAGGTAATTTCACGTCCACTGACATGGAAACTGAATTTCCACCACTCCTGGCTTTCAGCAACGTCAGACCATATCTGCGTGTTCTTAAAGGAAGAGGCTGTGCACGGACCACTTTTGATAAGAGAATGATGGAGTTACCAATTAGAAGCCACTCCAAATCATCACTGAAATGAAAAGTAAGTACTGCTGCGCCCCAAAATAAAGGCTATTTTTTAAAAAAGACATAGAGAAAAATTCATATTACTAAGTGAAAGACTGAAAAAGCTATATGTTGTATGAGTCTATGAAAAAGCTATATTTCGTATGTCATTATGGGACATTCTGGAAAAAGGCAAAACCATGGAGACAGTAAGAGATCAGTGGTCACCACGGGGTGGGAGGGAGGGAGGGATAAATAGATGGGGCACAGAGGATTTGTAGGGCAGTGAAACTAGTCTGTATGATGCTCTAATGGTGGATACATGTCATTGCGCATTTGTCCAAATGCATGGAATGTCCAACAGCAAGAGTGAATCCTAATGTAAACTGTGGACTTTGGTGATTGTGTTCACATTCGTCAATTGTGACAAACGTACCACTCCCGTACAGGATGCCGATAATGGAGAAGTCTATGCAAGTGTGGGGCAGAGAGTTTTTGGAAACTCTCTGTACTTTCTGCTCAGTTTTTCTGTGAATCTAAAACTCCTGCAAAAAAAAATCTATAAATTTTTTTTATTATTATACTTTAAGTTTTAGGGTACATGTGCACAACGTGCAGGTTTGTTACATATGTATACATGTGCCATGTTGGTGTGCTGCACCCATTAACTCGTCATTTAACATTAGGTATATCTCCTAATGCTATCCCTCCCCCCTCCCCCCACCCCACAATAGGCCGCGGGGTGTGATGTTCCCCAAATATCATGGTAGTTAATCTCAGTTTCTACAAAAGGTGATAAGATACCTGATTAGTAAAACACAAAATTGTTCTGGTTTTAATCCGAACATATGCTGAATTCTCTATTTTGTACTTGGATATAATCCCTCCTTAAGGGTATTATTATCTAAAAAATATATTATTGTTTTATTGCTATAAAAATACTTTTTCTTAATATAATGACCTGTGATTTAATGCTGATTGAAAATGTATTAAGTGGTGAATGTTTCTGATGGCTAAGCAAGGTCTCAGGCCAGATGGAAGTGAGAAAGGAAATGAATTCCCTACACAATAAAGGGAGCTGTATCTAGAGGGGTGGGATAGGGGAAAGATTTAAGATTTGGCCTTATTGCTAAATAAGAGGACCAGCAAGCAACCCATTTAAGGTCAGGAATTTTAAAAAATATGTATGCAAATTGTACTAATAGAACATTTTATTTCAGCACATTCTGAATGACTAGCAGGTAAAAGCATTAGAAATTTTGCTTTTGGGAAGGTGCCAAATGATTCTCCCATTCGGGGCACCCATACAGCCGATCCAGTCCTTGCACAGACACCTGCTTCACTGGTTATATAGGTTTCTTGGGCTGTTTCACTTTAAATTCCAAGTTTTCAAACAACTTTAAGCCTCAAGTCCAACCTTAATTAAACCTTTGAAGAGCAAAAGACAATAAGCTTTAAAGATCCCCTGTTTGGCTCATAAAATCTCAGCACAACAAACCAGGAAATATTCAATTATTCCTGGGACACCATAAACATTTTATGGCTCAGTCCTATTATTCCTCTTAAGTCTCTTTACAGCAGGGATGTTTGGTCTGCATCACACCTCTCCTCCTCTCCCCTTGCATTTGATCTTTTTTATGTACTTGAACGATGGGTTTGCTTTTCAATTTACACTCTCTCCCTTCACTCCAGTGCTTTTGGGAGGAGAGGCAGGGAGGGGAGGAAAATGCTCTTGGAGGCAGAGAGTAGCAGCCATGTTTGTGTTTCTCTCATCAGCCTGCAAAGACATAGGAAACCCAGTAGCTCCCTAAGTCATACACAAGGTATGATTGGAATTAACGCAAACTGCACCGACTTACAAATGGCAGTACCCAATGCACCAGAAATGTTGCTCTAAAAGCAGCATTAGTCTTCACCCCACTTCACACTCCAGCTGCCACATCTGCACCAAATCCTCTGACTTGATATCTCTTTGCTCCCCAGCCTACAGTCTCCTGCCAGCCTGTCTCTATTCAACACTTTGGACTAAGTTCATTCATAGCAAGGATTAATGAAAATCAAGCTTAATATTCAAGTAACAAGACTGAGTCAAACTTGCTGCTAAATTAGCCTAACTGACCTTAACCTTGATTCTAATTACTGGGCTACTGCTTTGTCTTAAGTAAAAATGTCTAATATCTACGGGCCCGTTGATGTTTGCTGCTGTCCTGGAAACTCTACATGTATTATCTCATTTAATCCTCATCAGAGCCCTACAGTGTGGTTGTTTTGTGATCCCTATTTTACAGGGGAGCTACTGGAAAAGGAGAGGTTAACCATTTGCCCAAGATGAGACAGCCAGAGAGTAGAGAAACCAGGATTACCAGGTAGAACACCGGACCCGAGCTTGGCCACTGTTTGTTTTACAAGGTCGTCTTTCTACAGTATCCCAGTTCTGGTAACAGGGTCCTTACTTCCTTCCAATTCCCCAATTTGAGTCCTTTTCTAAACTGTCTCAAGATCACATGCCTCCCTAAGGTTGGACTCCTGCCTGGCATTTCTCTTTTGGGGAATAAGTTTTTGCCTTGAGTTTCACCCATTCATCCAGGGCCCCATTGGCCCTGAGGCCAGCTCCCTTCATGTCTCAATCTCCAAATACTATATGCTCCTGGGTTTCACACAATCATATCTCCCACTGTTAGATGTCCCCAGGTGATGTGTTCAGCCTTCCTGCATAAACTTCATCCCAAGCCAAGCAGGTGAATTAGGATTGAACTGGAAAATGCCCCCATACAAGGAGAGCTTTCAATTTACTGTTCTGAAAGATACCTTGCATTTTTCTAGATGCCTAGAGAGACCCTAAGGGACCCCTCACCCCTGTGCCAAGTAACCCTGCTGTCCCTGTAGTGTCAGTATGGTACCCACTAGAATTCTGTAAGCTAGACTGGCCTCTGCCTTCTCTATGAACCTGACATCTTGCCACACAAGGGAGACAATGGAGAAGTGCTCTATACTGCTAGATGTCAACACCTTGTGAAGATGTTTGTATCAAATTAAATCCATAGGAAAAATGTAAACGCTTCCCTCTTCTGCCTTTCTTGGTGATAGTCCTCACTACTTGTTATGAGATGTCTGTTATAGTTTGGATATCTGTCCCCACCCAAATGTCATGTTGAATTGTAATCCCCAATTCTGGAGGTGGGGGCTGGTCAGAGGTGCCTGGATCATGGGGGCAAATCCCTCATGGCTTGGTGCTTTCTTTGTGATGCAGAGTTCTCAGGAGATCTGGTCATTTTCAAAGTGTATGGCACCTCCCTCCCCACTGTCTCTCTCTCTCTCTCCCTCTCTTGCTCCTGCTCCAGCCATGTGACATATCTGCTCCCCCTTTGCCTTCTGCCATGATTGGAAGCTTCCTGAGGCCTCCCAAGAAGCTGAGCAGATGCCGGCACCATGCTTCCTGTACAGCCTGCAGAACCCCAAGCCAATTAAACCTCTTTATAAATTATCTAGTCTCAGATATTTCTTTATAGCAACGTGAGATGGGACTACTACAGGGAGATGGTGCTACATATATATTACGGATATTTTAAAAGTGAAAACAAGCACAGTTTATAGAAACTGCAAGTTTATGGGACTTAGTTGGGCCTGAATCCTGCATTCCAGTGCACAGAAAGATGCATGATTCCGGTTTAGATCTTTTGTTTCTGAAACTTTTTAAACTAAATTTTCCAGAACTGAGTTCTAAGAAGTTTCCTTCCTTAGAGTGAGACTTTCTGTGTCTCCATAAATGAGTAAGGTCAGACAATCAGAGATGTAAGACGGGACTGGGTGTGTGAGGAATTCTCTTTGCGGGGATTTGGGGCTCACAGAGAAAGACTGGCCCCAAACTCCTTGTGAAGGGGAGTGGTGTTTAAATAATTCTTCTCCCTGGAGCTGAGGGAAGAGAAGACCATGGACCTGGTGGTAACTGCATGTCTCTGGGGTATCTGCTCAGTCCCAGCTCGCTGAGCTACGGGGAGGAGCCACTGCTGGTGATGTGGACACTGGGGAGAGGAAACATGAAGCTGCAGCCATGGAGAGAGGGCAGAGGACCCTCAGCCTCCAGTGTCATGGGGTCCAGGAGGTCATTCTGCCCACACACAGGCTCAGAACTGGGGCTCCTTGTGTCCTAGCAGTGGCCCCATAGGACAATGAGCATGAGTCTCCTTGGGGACAGCAATACCTAGATGTGTCTTTGGAACTAAATCCTCTCAGGATTCAGGAGGGCACACACCCTAAAGACCCAACATGATGTGTATACATATAGGAGGTTTAAATTAAGGAAGTGGCTCATGTGATTACGGGAGCTGGCAAGTCCAAATTCTGCAGGGTGGGCCAGCAGACTGGAGACTCAGTGAAGAGCTGATGCTGCAGTTCATTCACTTGCTGCAGAATTCCCTCTTACTCTAGGGAGGTCAGTCTTTTGTTCTACTCAGACCTTCAACTGATTAGATGAGGCCCACCTGCATTGGGGAGAGCCATCTGCTTTACTTAAAGTTTATGGACTCAAAAACACCCTCACAGAAATATCCAGAATGATGCTCGCCCACATACCTGGGCACCACGGCCCAGCCAAGTGGACACATAAATGTAACCATCACACATACACCCACTCTGGCTAGGATCACAAACAACATGGAAGCAGAAACTCACTACTGGCAGAAATGCTAAGCAAACACCATTTCCCTTTCCCTCTCCTTGCCCCAGCCCCAGGGCAGTGAGCCCAGAGAATTGGGAGGCATAGAGAGAAGAGGCTAGGTGTGCTCCAGGCCTCCAGGGTCCTAACTTTAATCCTCTCGGCCTCCCACTGATTTCAGCCTTGGTTGGGCAGACAATCCCACACAGCATGTCATTTCTACAGGAATCTACCCTGTAGATAGACAGATTCCTGTAGAAATGATAAATGTTTGCAGCGATGGATGCCCCAGTTACCCTGATTTGCTCATTACACATTGTGTGTATGTATCAAAATATCGCATGAACCTCGCAAATACGTACAATTATTATGTACCAATAAAATGCAATTAATTGAAAAAACCATTTACAAATAAGCAAGACTATGTCCCAAGAAACGGCACACAGCTGTTTTAATGATGAAGGTGACTGAAAATGTTGTGAAGCGAGTTAGGTGTTCAAGGGAGCCACTGTGTGGGAGGAGAGGGTGTTCCCCCAGTGCAGTGTTAGCAACGATGGTAAGGGAGACACATTTCATGTTTGTGTCCATAGTCAGGGTTGCACGGTCAAGCCCAATCATGCTGTTCTAGGATCTCAGCACTGTCCCTTGGCTCACATCTGCCTGGTTTGCTTTGCGAAGTATACGTTTTGTCTCCTACCTTGACCTGTTATCCCAGGATCAGGCTAAATGCAGCCTATGCCTTGCTGTGATGTGCCAGGATGGCTGAGGCCAGGATAGCTGAGACTCCCCGTGTGTCTCTGTGTGGGCCACCCCCAGAGCTCCCTGAGCCAGCTCCCCAACACACACACAAGCCCCAGGCTGCCTCACTGACATTGTCACCATACCTGCACTTGGCATGGATACCACAGAGGCAGGTAAATAATTAGAGTAGCAGTCATAAGAGCAACAAAGCAAGGTGGTTGTCCAGAGGGATATTCACAGAAAAGGGGACATGTGACCATTGGCTTCAAAAGAAGGATCTTGAGGGTTCCAGGTGAGGGCAACGTGTCATGGCGGCAGACATAGAGCTGCCAAGGTGTTTGCTCCAAGGGGCTGGCCCTGGATGGGAACTGGGACATCCAGGATTTCATCCCAGCTCGGTGGCTGATGATCTGTATCATCAGGTTGCTTTGGAAGTCTCTATGTCCTAAAATTCTGCAAGTTTAAAAGTTCTAAAATATTCTTCAAAAATTATATTCTCTTACATGTATGTTTTATTTTTGTCTTATTTTTAAATCTCAAAATTATGTTAAGCTATACTGTCATTTAAAAAAAAAAACTCAGCCTAATTCACCGAGTCCCAGACCCCCTCCTCTCAGTCTATGGTCACAGGTCAAGCTTGCCCTGGATGAAGAAGGTAACTTTAAGGAAGGCTTTTAGGCATTTATGACGTAGACCTGAAGGAAGTCCTTATGGGAAGACTTATAATATGGGCACATTTTAGAATGATCCAAATGGAATCTTGTTTTCAAAAATATTATGGGTAAATAATATGAAAAGCCTCCTTCTACAAACATTTAGAAATACTGGATAAAATGATAACAAATAGGCCAGAAATATGCAGGTGAAAGTACATTTAAAAAAAATAAAGCTGAATCTCAGCTGGGCTCAGTGGCTCATGCCTATAATCCTAGCACTTTGGGAGTCTGAGGCAGGCAGATTGCTTGAGGCCACGAGTTCAAGACCAGCCTGGCCAACATGGTGAAACCCCCTCTGTACTAAAAATACAAAACTTAGCCAGGCTTGGTGGCGGGCACCTGTAATCCCAGCTGCTCGGGAGGCTGAGGCAACAGAATCACTTCAGTCCAGGAGGTCAAGGTTGCAGTGAGCCAAGATTGCACCACTGTACTCCAGCCTGGGGGACAGAGGGAGACCCTGTCTTTAAAAAAAATATATATATATAGATATATCTATCTATATATATATATATATATATAGATATATCTATCTATATATATATATATATATAGATATAGATATAGATATATAGATATATCTATATCTATATATCTATATATATATCTATATATAGATATAGATATATATCTATATATAGATATAGATATATATCTATATATATATATTCTGAATCTCAAGGACCTAAAACACAGAGAATTGGAAGGTGGCAGCTGGACTGTGAGCTGTGTCTGCTCAGGCCGAGGAGGTCACAGCACCCCATGTAAGGATGGGGTGGGTGCAGACAGAGGGGACCATGAAGGAAGGGAGCCCTGCAGGGCATGTGGCCTGGGCGCCATGGGGACATGGCATGTGGTGGGTGCAGCAGGCTCCATGCGGTATTGTGTAGACCCAGTGGAGTCAGGTTTCCCACCACTGAGGAAGAGAGAAATCTGCGAAGGGAAAGATACTAAAACAAACTCTCTGAAAATATTGGCTTAGAGTTGGAGGAATCAGCGTGAACTCATGGTTTTCAATGTGTCTATAGATCAATACAGATAAAAATACAGACATAAATGTGTATTTTGTGTGTGTGTTTGCACATGCATGTGTGATGACCCAGTACCAAGCAGTACACCTAGTGCCCAGGCCTTGGCTTCTAAATATTCTCCACCAGAAGAAGTCGGGATTCCTTGCACATGTGACAGAGTCCAGGTTTCAGCAGAAAAGTTTAAGATGATGTATTAGTCAGGGTTCTTTTAGAGGGACAGAACTATAGGATATATATGTATATATCATATATATCCTATATATGTATGTATATCTCCTATATATAATATATATATATATATATATATATATATATATATATATATATAAAATAGGCAGAAAATGTGAAAAGGAGAGATGGGATATATATATATAAGTTTATTAAGTATTAACTTACACTACCACAAGGTCCCACAATAGGCTGCCTGCAAGCTGAAGAGCAAGGAGAGTCAGTCCAAATCCCAAAACTGAAGAACTTGGAGTCCAATGTTCGAGGGCAGGAAGCATCCAGCTTGGGAGAAAGATGTAGGCTGGGAGTCTAGGCCCATCTCTCCTTCTCACATTTTTCTGCCTGCTTTATATTCTCTGGAAGCTGATTAGATTGTGCCCACCAGATTAAGGGTGGATCTCCCTTCCCCAGCCCACTGACTCAAATGTGAATCTCTTTTGGCAACACCTACACAGACACACTCAGGATTAATACTTTGAATCCTTCAATCCAATCAAGTTGGCACTTAGTATTAACCATCATAGATAACATCTTTTGCCATCTCCCAAAACACAAGGAAGTGAGCAAACACATGATGGGACATGTCACAAGACAGGAGCCTGCTTAAAGAGGCTCCCACTGACAAAATTTGGAACAATTTGAACATGAAAATAAATAATGGTAGTGCGAGTTTATGACTTATCAAATAAAACAGGAAACCATGGGCCTACATGAACATAATACATTGAAAATTTGTAGAAAAACAAGATATTTTCATAGTTTCAAAGTCCCTCGTCACAAAGTGCTCCTTAATTATAAAGAGAATACAAGCAACTTTACAGTGGAGAATCTGGCACATCAGCCTTCATCACGTGATCAAGCTGAACAGCATTCATAAGAGACAAAACAAAACTGTGCCTCTCCTGAGAGGGTGCAATGAAGTGAACACAAGGCATCGCCGTGATAGGGTTAGATCCAGAGTGTGAATCCTGACAGGAATTAGGAAAACGCCGTGCAAACCCACACCGAAGGACATTTCGGGAAATAACTGGCCTATGATCTTCAAAAGTGTCAAAGGACATAAAAGTCAAGGACAGAATGTAGAATTTTTCCAGATGTAAAAAGGTTAAAGAAATATGGCAACATAAAGAATGTGTGATTCTAAGTTGGACCCTTCTCTCTAAAGGAAATTATTGGAACATTTGTTGAGATGAGAATGAGGCCTTCGCATGAGATGGTGCTAATGCAGGAGGAACGGTGCTTCCAGGATTTGATGGTTGCATTGCGGTTAGGTAGGAGCACGTTCTTGTTTGTAGGAAATACACATGAAAGTATCAGACAAGAGTCGGGCGTGGTGGGTCATGCCTGTAATCCCAGCACTTTGGGAGGCCGAGGCGGGCGGATCACGAGGTCAGGAGATAGAGACCATCCTGGCTCACATGGTGAAACCCCATCTCTACTAAAAATACATAAAAAATTAGCCGGGCATGGTGGCGGGCACCTGTAGTCCCAGTTACTTGGGAGGCTGAGGCAGGAGATCAGCGTGAACCCGGGAGGTGGAGCTTGCAGTGAGCCGAGATCGCGCCACTGCACTGCAGCCCTCCAGCCTAGGAGACAGAGGGAGACTCCTTCTCAAAAAAAAAAAAAAGTATCAGACAGAGAGGTTGCATCAATGTTCTTTGTACTCTAATTGCAACTTTTCAGTAAGTTTGAGATTGTTTCAAATTTCTCTTAACTACAAATTAAGCTTAACCACTAAAATGAATAGAAATACAATTTATAACTTCCAAACCAGTAGAGATAAATCACAGATTATTGCTTCACGGGTTTTCAAGAAAATAGTAAAGAAGAGGAGGAAAGCAAAACAAACAAGCAAAATATAGCAAACAGGCGCAAAATTAGGTTGTAGATATAAATAAATCAATATGCACAAGAAATGTAATTGTATAAATAAGTACACACAAGCAACGTCATTGGATTAAGCTTCCCAGATATCAGATATATTTTTACTTGGTATGAAACAACTAACATTTAGCTAGGTGATAATATGAAGAGTCATTTCTAAATTCTGAGGTTGGAAATAATACAAGAAGAAAATCTGTAGCAGACAGAGACTAACGGGGAGAGTTGCTGCTGCACCATTAGTATCAGCGAAGTATGCCTGGCGTAGTGTATGTACACGACGAAACTATAGAACAGACAAGTTGCCAGTCAGCTACAACAGTTTGGAACTGGTATAAGCTAATATGGCTTCAAATTGAATCTATTAAAAATTGGAAGAAAAAAACACATGAAAAAATTCTCATCATCACTGGCCATCAGAGGAATGTAGATCAAAACCACAATGAGATACCATCTCACACCAGGTAGAATGGTGATCATTAAAAAGTCAGGAAACAACAGGTGCTGGAGAGGATGTGGAGAAATAGGAACACTTTTACACTGTTGGTGGAACTGTCAACTAGTTCAACCATTGTGGAAGTCGGTGTGGTGATTCCTCAGGGATCTAGAACTAGAAATACCATTTGACCCAGCCATCCCATTACTGGGTATATACTCAAAGGATTATAAATCATGCTGCTATAAAGACACATGCACACGTATGTTTATTGCAGCACTATTCACAATAGCAAAGACTTGGAACCAACCCAAATGTCCAACAATGATAGACTGGATTAAGAAAATGTGGCACATATACACCATGGAATACTATGCAGCCATAAAAAACGATGAGTTCATTTCCTTTGTAGGGACATGGATGAAGCTGGAAACCATCATTCTCAGCAAACTATCACAAGGACAAAAAACCAAACACCGCATGTTCTCACTCATAGGTGGGAATTGAACAATGAGAACACATGGACACAGGAAGGGGAACATCACACACCGGGGACTGTTGTGGGGTGGAGGGAGGGGGAAGGGATAGCATTAGGCGATAAACCTAATGTTAAATGATGAGTTAATGGGTGCAGCACAAAAACATGGCACATGTACACATATGTAACAAACCTGCACGTTTTGCACATGTACCCTAAAACTTAAAGTATAATAATAATAATAATAAAAAGAAATTGCCAAAAAAAATTGGAAGGGAAATGTGATAAATCTAAAGTGATACTGATTTTATATCTATTTCAATAATGAGTCAATTTAAGTTGTTAAGGATGCAGAGGATTTGAACAGGAATATTTGAAGGTTGTTGTAAAGGACAAGTGTGGAATGCCGCACCTAAAAGTTATTTCCTGGCATGCATAGAACAGTTTTAAAAGTGATCATGTACTGGGGAGGCAAAGAAGCAACTCTTAGAAAATACCAAAGAATCAGTATTCTACAGCACAATGAATTTGGAATCCAGTTGTATATTGCCCTCCCCTCCAATCCCAGGCTGGTAGCAGGCAGAGTAGGAGCTTTAAAATTCATAGAGAGGAATCTTTCTGCTGCTAAATAAATCACACGGAAGTGTCTGCCTTTCACAGCCTAAAATAACTTTACCTACCTTGGTGGTGGAATGAGTCCACATCCTAACTTGGCCCCGTATCTTTCTGCCCTACTATGCTTTGCAGTGAGGCCAACACCTTGTTACCCAAATCAGTGAAAAGCCTTGAAGGCCAAATCCCAAGGATGTAGCCACCTTCCCACCCACCTCTGAGTCCTCTCAGTCTCCCCAGGTACCCGGGGACTTCTTAGGCCACCAGGGTACCAGGCCACCAGTTGCCTCTCAAATTTGGATTTATAAGTGACATAAGCTAAAGCATATTCTCTAAAACGTAGGAATAGCCCTAAGTGACATGAAGACTTAAGATGGATGGGTTTTCCTTCATCTCCAAGTTGTCACTTTAAGAGAGAAGAAATTAATGACTGAGTTTGGAACAGAGCAAGAGAGGGCAGGTGTGCGTGTGTTGGTGTGAGTGTGTGCAAGGGTGTGAGTGTGTGTATGTATGCGAGTGTGTGTGTGGAGGGGAGGCTGCACAATGTGAAGCCCACACACCAAAGGGCAGCCTGGGGGACCGTGGGCACCAGGGACAGGAGACATGGTTTTCTGGGGGGCCGTGGGCACCAGCAATAGGAGACATGGTTTTCCAGCAAATGTGAAAGAAACACAAAAATGAAAGTGCAAGGGCCTAATGCCAAACTTCACCTGCTTCACAGTTTCCCTGAATAAATAAGAAAATGAACAGAAAAGAGCTATTTTACCTTTAATTCATTCCTGGGCTACGATCTAATATACAGAGCTCCATAGAGGGGGAGGGAGGCAGGCAGGTGGGTCGGTGTGTTTTTGTCTCTGATGCCCACTGTACCTAGACAGCACCTGGATGAAGTAGGTGTTCAGGTCACATGAGCTGGGATGCTTCAGCAGCCCTGCCCTGGTGCTCAGCACACTGAGCTTGCAGCCCTGTCACTCAGTCATTCGCTTGCTTCTCTGCATGCAGTTTTCTTCACTGCGGTGAGACAGTGCTGGACAGCGAACTCTGGAGTCATCTCCTGCTGCCACTTCTCTGAGGCTATCATCTCCTTACAGCCCCACACTTGACCATTAAGACAGCAATTTTTCAAAGTCCGTAAAAATATATGGTGGATGGAAAGGTTAAAGAAACTCTAAAGTTTTCAGCCCAGAAATATGGATTGGTGAGTTTTCATGAGACTTTTACACAACTCAGCTCTATACAAACCTCTGGCCTCGTGCTATTGTGTGTGAGTCTCTTCACCAGTTTGCAGGAGAGGCATTTATTTTTGAGGTATGCATATCGTAAACTCCCAGTAATACATGAATTGGCTGGTAAAATAAGACATAAGCAGATATTTGGGAAATGGTAGCGATTTGTTGACATTATTTTTAGATGAAGGAAAAAACTCAAGCAGAATTGTTAATTAGACATTTTGTGAATGCAGAAACACCTTCTGAGAAATGCTGCTGTGCTATACAAAGGCTATGATTTCCCCCAAAGAACTGGTTAGCACATTACATTGAGCACCAAAAGAATAGAGTGGCCAATTAATCTTCCGAGTGCATGGAAGATAACACTTTGATTTTTATCTGTCCTGCATTTTCAAGACAACACAAGCCAATGCTCATTTAATCTTGTCTTGGCTTTGGAAGGGTAGATCAATATGATAAATAAATCACATTGACTTTATTGGTATTTGGCTGAATATTAATAGACTTATTTGGTCTGCTTCGTGCAGACTGTCAGTATACACCAAGCAGAATTCATTGACGATAAGCTCTCAGGCAGTGGCTAGAAGCTTATTTCACCTAAGGGCATTGAGTCAACACTTTGCCAAAGTTATTGTGAGCAGATAATGCCCAGGGTATTATTTGAGGATAAATGGCAGTACCAATTTCCAATACGTGAATGAAGCTTAAGTAGGACTTCTTCCATTTAAATTAGCTCATCTTTCATTTTTCCATCTACGCTAATGATTCCCAGCCTTTTTATCTGGCTGGTCACACTCAACAGGCACAGCTCACTATGGCAGGAACCCTCAACGGAGAACGCGTGGGCTGAGGGAGGGGGCAATCCCTCAATCAGAGGGATCCGTGAACACTCAACTGGGATGCCTGAGGCTATTTGGATTTGCGCTTCATTCCTTTCCCTCCTCAGTGAGTCCCCTGAGAAGTGGCCTCCCCAACACTGTGCAGGGCTCTGTGGCAGCGTGGGAGTAGTCTAATATGTTCTCCAAATGACACGCAGTCTGGGAGAGCAAGAGGCTGCTGCTCATCTTGTGTCCTTTAGCTCAGCGTCTGCCCGGATGAAACGCTCAATCAAGTTTGCTGAATGAGTGGGAAAACGAAACAAAACAAAAGTCCCTGAAATGTCTAAATATCTACACCAAGACAAGGGCCTCTGTATACACTGCCCAGGTTTTCTTATGCACTGCCTCTAAATGCATCGATCCTTCTCAGGTGAGGAGGCCACCCTCACTGACCCAGAAAGTAATTCTTGGTGTATTTGCCACATTTTCAAAGCAACCAACTATGCTTAAGTATGGAGATGCACTGTGGTATTAATACCAGACTCACCTGACAAACATGTATAATGGCTTTTCCTATATATGATTTTAAATTTCTAAAAGATGTAGTAATTACATATTACATGGACGTGCTGTTATCATTTGAATTCCTTTTTTCCTTTGTCATCCAAGCCAGACAGGGAGCATTGCATGTCAGAATCAGAAACGGGTCAGAAAACCTGGCCGCATAAGACCAGTAGACTCAATCTGAACACGTGACTTGGTGCCTTTAAACCACAATTTCATTTGTAAAGTGGAAGTAATTAAACAAATATATGGAGAATGGGTTTACTAAATTTTAATAAAGCACCAAACATTGGCTGTCACTCATTACTACCCCAAGAAGTGGACTTCTGGCTCTTCCAGTAAATGACACTGGAATAACTACCACACTTGGCCCATTCACCAGAGCTTGACCCTCTCCTGTCTGTGTTTCAGAGCTTCATACCTAGATATCTGGAAAAATCAAACACACTTGAGCCATACCTTTGGAACACAGCACGGAGCAAGAAAAACGCTGTGCTGAGTGTCGGGGCGCCCGAGTCCTAGGCTCTGTTCTGTTACCGTTGACCTTGGGCAAGTCACTCCTCCTCACAGCCTCATTTCCCCCAACTGTCAATGAAAAAAATTCTTCCTTTGAAATTTTGGGGATCAAATGTAAAATATTCAGATAGGTATGTACTTTCCGAAGTGTGATTAAAGGGGGTTCCTATACCACTGCCCTGGCAGACACAGCCAAGTCTGGATGTGAGGAGAGAGCATGGGCTCAGAATAGCCTTCAGGACAGAGATCTTGAAGTCTCGGGAAGGCATGGCATTCCTGGGTGGGGGGCTCACACCCACATGCGAGGGCTTGAAGGGTTCCAAAGCAGTCATTTCCCCACTTCCCAATGGCTGGAGGCACCTGCTTCAGAGCATTCTCGCTGGGTTGAGGCGTTACACCCCCTGGAAGAAGTAACTTTAACTATTGCATATGGATTATTTTTATCCCATTATCACCTAGCAGACAGAAGGCTATACAACAGAACAAAATAGAGGTGTTTTTGAGGGAGAAGAGGAAAGACGAAGCATCCTGAGACACCATCGGATGAATGGAGGATCAGCAGGTGAAGAACCCTCAGGAAGGTCACTGAGTCCTGAAGTGGAGTACTTTGTGTCAAGAGTGGAAGATAACCCAGCATTTGGGTGGGGGGCCATGAAGTTGTTAGGGACTGTCCTTGTCAAGCAGAAGAGGCAGATAAAGATCTCCATTTGGGCATGCCCTTCTAGGACCCAACTCGAGTTCACTCTGCAGGTCTGAGCTTCTCAGACACCTCCTGCCCGGCTTTGCCTCTGGTCTCGTGTGACCTTTAGTGTTATTTGCAATTTCATATGTGTGTTGGTCTAATCCCCCAATCTAGATTACACATTAACGGGAATGGGGTCGATTCACGTTCGCTTCCTGGCCAATGCTTGCTTGCAGGGCCTCGAGACTTGGCCGGCGTGACATGACCAGATTCCTGGTGGCCATCTCTGCAACGTGCAGAGCAGGATCAGAGACTTCCTCTGCCCAGAAGCTAAGATATCAGGCGGGCCAAAACCATCTAGCTAAAGGGCAAGTTGCCTTTAGTCTAGCCTCTAAAGTTCATTGAAAGACTCCTAGTTTTCTTTTCCACACTTGACCTTAAAGAGAGAGAGAGAGAGAGAGGAAGAGAGAGAGAGAGAGAAAGGAAGAGAGAGAGAGAGAGAGGAAGAGAGAGAGCGCATGCATTCATTGCCCATTTCCACTAAGCCCTGCCCTAATATGTCAGCAGGAGAGCCAAACACTAGCGTATGAAACAGCAAAACAAGATTGATTCACTCGTAATTCCATTCCTATTATATCACTTTCCCAATGTGTTTGTCTTACTGAACGATAACACAAGTAGAGAGTGAAAAATCCACAGAATATACAGCAAAGTGCCATTCATGACAATGTGAATTAAGTAAGCATAATAAAATCACTTTTATGTATGTTCTAATAAAATCACTTTTATGTATGTTCCAGTCCTAATTCATTCTGACATGCCCTTAATTTCTATTTTGTTATTTGTGAAATAGAAACCTGACAATTCACTAAATCACCTCGAGCAGCTCCTTTTAAAATCTATTCCATTTGCTGGACACAAATTAATTTTTATTTAAGCATTGCACTGGATTTCAACAATTCAAAGTTTGCAGTAAGGAATAAATAAGTCAGATGATTGCCTAATGACATAAACAAAAGGGGATTCATCAAAAATATGACTCTGCCCTGACTGCCGTGGTGCCTGAAATCCCACAATTTGTGTTGTTTCTTTAGGTTAAAGAATTTAACAAGGAGATCCTTGTACCTGGCAGGGTCCCTGTCAAAATCTTGGAAATGAATCTTGGAAAATTTGTAGAGTGTTCATTTGCAAAGGGACTAATTACAAAGGCACGGACAGAGTGTAAGGAAAGCAGAAGAGGAAGGAACCCAGGGCTAGCAGCTGTGTATCAGTCCTCGTCCTGAGCCAGTTGGAACAAGTTGAAGAAGAGGTTACTGAGTTCTAGAAGGCAAGAAATCCTGCAGGGCAAACCTTCATGAAAGGATTGGATATTTCAGTACAGGGGCACAGCTAGACCCACAGAGAGGGAGCCAATGGAATACGTAGCCTGACCTCAGCCTCCTCCTACCTCTGCTCTCTTTCCAAGGGCTTTTTACTCTTAGACTGATTAGCCCTCAACGAGCAGCACAGGGAGCTAGAAAGAGAAGACCTGCAGCAAAGAGACTGATACTGGTCCAATGCCAGAGAGGGCAGGCCCTGCAAGGGAATTACAAGGCAGGACCCCTGAGGAATGATGAAAGAGAAACCTTACAGCACTATTTACAATAGCAAAGACTTGGAACCAACCCAAATACCCATCAATAATAGACTGGAAAAGAAAATATGACACATATACACCATGGAATAGTGTAGTCATAGAAAGAATGAGTCCATGTCCTTTGCAGGGACATGGATGAAGCTGGAAACCATTATTCTCAGCAAACTAACACAGGAACAGAAAACAAAATACCACATGTTCTCACTCATAAGTGGGAGTTGAACAATGACAACACGTGGGCACAGGGAGGGGAACATCACACACTGGGTTGTACATGGCCTGTCAGGGAATGGGGGCAAGGCAGGGGAGAGTATTAGGACAAATACCTAATGCATGTGGGGCTTAAAACCTAGATGACAGGTTGATGGTCGCAGGAAACCACCATGGCACATGTGTACCTATGTAACAAACCTGCACGTTCTACACATGTATCCCATAACTTAAAGTAAGATAAATAATAATAATAATAATGATAAAAGAGAAACCTTGCAGACTTCCAGGTGGGAAGAGCCTCACCTGGGAACCAGGAAGGCTGGTCTTCCCGCCTGTCATTCACATTTCAGTGCTTGTAAAAAGAGCACTGTTGGGAGAAGGCACCTGGATTCTGTATTTTCTTTCAGTTGTTTGCAGGGAGGAAATTTATTATTTACTTTGTCCCTCCTAAGCAGGGTAGAAACCAAGGACTCATTTTCCTTTATACTGTCTTTTATTGGTAGCCACATTTTCACATGTAAATAAGTATGAAGTAACTTTTCTTCAGCCATATTTTAATCTCTTCAGGACAAACCTTGTTGTACCTCTTTTATTCCCCAATGAGTACAATTCTGGCAGAACTTCATCTCAATAAATATTGACTCATTGATTAAGGGATGAAGAGCAAGTGTCATTCTAAATAACAACAACAACAACAAGCTATGAACCATTTTAAAGGAGAAGTAATATTACATTTTACCACATTGAATAAGGTAACCCATTATTAAGGAAAGTGACAATTTAGAGAGTTTCTGTGCCTGCAATTTGGAGGAGATAAGAGTTTGGGGGTTTCTATAGTTTTTGGGTTAAAAAAAAATAATAATGTGTGGACATTCTTTTGGTGTTCCAAAGAGAATGTTTAAGAAATTTACCATGACCTGGGGGTGCAGCCAAGATGGCCGAATAGGAACAGCTCCAGTCTACAGCTCCCAGCGTGAGCGATGCAGAAGACAAATGATTTCTGCATTTCCAACTGAGGTACCGGGTTCATCTCACTGGGGACTGTCAGAGAGTGGGAGCAGGACAGTGGATGCAGTGCACCGAGCATGAGCTGAAGCAGGGTGAGGCATCGCCTCACCCGGGAAGCGCAAGGGGTCAGGGAATTCCCTTTCCTAGCCAAGGAAAGGGGTGACAGACGGCACCTGGAAAATCGAGTCACTCCCACCCTAATACTGCGCTTTTCCAACGGTCTTAGCAAACGGCACACCAGGAGATTGTATCCCGCGCCTGGCTCGGAGGGTCCTATGCCCACGGAGCCTCGCTCATTGCTAGCACAGCAGTCTGAGATCAAACTGCAAGGCAGCAGCGAGGCTGGCAGAGGGGCGCCCGCCATTGCTGAGGCTTGAGTAGGTAAATAAAGTGGCTGGGAAGCTTGAACTGGGCGGAGCCCACTGCAGCTCAAGGAGGCCTGCCTGCCTCTGTAGACTCCACCTCTGGGGGCAGGGCATAGCCAAACAAAAGGCAGCAGAAACCTCTGCAGACTTAAATGTCCCCGTCTGACAGCTTTGAAGAGAGTAGTGGTTCTCCCAGCACACAGCTGGAGATCTGAGAACAGACAGACTGCCTCCCCAAGTGGGTCCCTGACCCCTGAGTAGCCCAACTGGGAGGCACCCCCCAAGTAGGGGCAGACTGACACCTCACACGGCCAGGTACTCCTCTGAGACAAAACTTCCAGAGGAACGATCAGGCAGCAACATTTGCTGTTCACCAATATCCACTGTTCTGCAGACTCTGATGCTGATACCCAGGCAAACAGGGTATGGAGTGGACCGCCAGCAAACTCCAACAGACCTGCAGCTGAGAGTCCTGACTGTTAGAAGGAAAACTAAAAAACGGAAAGGACATCCACACCAAAACCCCATCTGTACATCACCATCATCAAAGACCAAAGGTAGATAAAACCACAAAGATGGGGTAAAAAACAGAGCAGAAAAACTGAAAATTCTAAAAATCAGAATGCCTCTCCTTCTCCAAAGGAACACAGCTCCTCACCAGCAACAGAACAAAGCTGGATGGAAAATGACTTTGACGAGTTGAGAGAAGAAGGCTTCAGATGATCAAACTACTCTGAGGTAAAGGAGGAAGTTCGAACCCATGGCAAAGAAGTTAAAAACCTTGAAAAAAGATTAGACGAATGGCTAACTAGAATAACCAATGCAGAGAAGTCCTTAAAGGACCTGATGGAGCTGAACACCATGGCACGAGAACTACGTGGCAAATGCAGAAGCCTCAGTAGCTGATTTGATCAACTGGAAGAAAGGGTATCAGTGATGGAAGATCAAATCAATGAAATGAAGCGAGAAGAGAAGTTTAGAGAAAAAAGAATAAAAAGAAATGAACAAAGCCTCCAAGAAATATGGGACTATGTGAAAAGACCAAATCTATGTCTGATTGGTGTACCTGAAAGTGACAGGGAGAATGGAATCAAGCTGGAAAACACTCTGCAGGATATTATCCAGGAGAACTTCCCCAACCTAGCAAGGCAGGCCAACATTCAAATTCAGGAAATACAGAGAATGCCACAAAGATACTCCTCGAGAAGAGCAACTCCAAGACACATAATTGTCAGATTCACCAAAGTTGAAATGAAGGAAAAAATATTAAGGGCAGCCAGAGAGAAAGGTCGGGTTACCCACCAAGGAAGCCCATCAGACTAACAGCTGATCTCTTGGCAGAAACTCTACAAGCCAGAAGAGAGTGGGGGCCAATATTCAACATTCTTAAAGAAAAGAATTTTCAACCCAGAATTTCATATCCAGCCAAACTAAGCTTCAAAAGGGAAGGAGAAATAAAATACTGTACAGACAAGCAAATGCTGAGAGATTTTGTCACCACCAGGCCTGCCCTACAGGAGCTCCTGAAGGAAGCGCTAAACATGGAAAGGAATAACTGGTACCAGCCACTGCAAAAACATGCCAAATTGTAAAGACCATCAAGGGTAGGAAGAAACTGCATCAACTAACAAGCAAAATAACCAGCTAACATCATAATGACAGGATCAGATTCACACATAACAATATTAACCTTAAATGTAAATGGGCTAAATGCTCCAATTAAAAGACACAGACTGGCAAATTGGATAAAGAGTCAAGACCCATCAGTGTGCTGTACTCAGGAAACCCTCTCACGTGCAGAGACACACATAGGCTCAAAATAAAGGGATGGAGGAAGATCTACCAAGCAAATGGAAAACAAAAAAAGGCAGGGGTTGCAATCCTAGTCTCTGATAAAGCAGACTTTAAACCAACAAAGATCAAAAGAGACAAACCAGGCCATTACATAATGGTAAAGGGATCAATTCAACAAGAAGAGCTAACTATCCTAAATATATATGCACCCAATACAGGAGCACCCAGATTCATAAATCAAGTCCTTAGAAAGCTACAAAGAGACTTAGACCTCTCCCTCTCCCTCTCCCTCTCCCCACGGTCTCCCTCTCCCTCTCTTTCCACGGTCTCCCTCTGATGCTGAGCCAAAGCTGGACTGTACTCCCTCTGATGCCGAGCCAAAGCTGGACTGTACTGCTGCCATCTCGGCTCACTGCAACCTCCCTGCCTGATTCTCCTGCCTCAGCCTGCCGAGTGCCTGCGATTGCAGGCGCGCGCCGCCACGCCTGACTGGTTTTCGTATTTTTTTGGTGGAGACGGGGTTTCGCTGTGTTGGCCGGGCTGGTCTCCAGCTCCTAACCGCGAGTGATCCGCCAGCCTCGGCCTCCCGAGGTGCCGGGATTGCAGACGGAGTCTCGTTCACTCAGTGCTCAATGGTGCCCAGGCTGGAGTTCAGTGGCGTGATCTCGGCTTGCTACAACCACCTCCCAGCCGCCTGCCTTGGCCTCCCAAAGAGCGGAGATTGCAGCCTCTGCCCAGCCGCCACCCCGTCTGGGAAGTGAGGAGCGTCTCTGCCTGGCCGCCCATCGTCTGGGATGTGAGGAGCCCCTCTGCCTGGCTGCCCAGTCTGGAAAGTGAGGAGCGTCTCTGCCCGGCCGCCATCCCATCTAGGAAATGAGGAGCGCCTCTTCCCCCCCGCCATCCCATCTAGGAAGTGAGGAGCGTCTCTGCCCGGCCGCCCATCGTCTGGGATGTGGGGAGCGCCTCTGCCCCGCCGCCCCGTCTGGTATGTGAGGAGCACCTCTGCCCGGCCGCGACCCCGTCTGGGAGGTGAGGAGCGTCTCTGCCCGGCTGCCCCGTCTGATAAGTGAGGAGACCCTCTGCCTGGCAACCGCCCTGTCTGAGAGGTGAGGAGCCCCTCCGTCCGGCAGCCACCCGGTCTGGGAGGTGAGGAGCATCTCTGCCTGGCAGCCACCCCGTCCGGGAGGGAGGTGGGGGTCAGCCCCCGCCAGGCCAGCCGCCCCGTCCGGGAGGGAGGTGGGGGGGTCAGCCCCCCACCCGGCCAGCCTCCCGGACGGGAGGTGAGGGGCGCCTCTGCCCGGCCGCCCCTACTGGGAAGTGAGGAGCCCCTCTGCCCGGCCAGCCGCCCCGTCTGGGAGGGAGGTGGGGGGGGGTCAGCCCCCCGCCCGGCCAGCCGCCCTGTCCGGGAGGTGAGGGGCGCCTCTGCCTGGCCGCCCCTACTGGGAAGTGAGGAGCCCCTCTGCCCGGCCAGCCGCCCCGTCCGGGAGGGAGGTGGGGGGGTCAGCCCCCCGCCCGGCCAGCCACCCCATCCGGCCAGCCGCCCCGTCCGGGAGGCGAGGGGCGCCTCTGCCCGGCCACCCCTACTGGGAATTGAGGAGCCCCTCTGCCCGGCCAGCCGCCCCGTCCGGGAGGGAGGTGGGGGTTCAGCCCCCCGCCCGGCCAGCCGCCCCGTCCGGGAGGGAGGTGGGTGGGGGGGGGGTCAGCCCCTTGCCTGGCCAGCCGCCCTGTCCAGGAGGTGAGGGGCGCCTCTGCCCGGCTGCCCCTACTGGGAAGTGAGGAGCCCCTCTGCCCAGCCAGCCACCCCGTCCGGGAGGGAGGTGGGGGGGTCAGCCCCCCGCCCGGCCAGCCGCCCTGTCCGGGAGGCGAGGGGCGCCTCTGCCCAGCCACCCCTACTGGGAATTGAGGAGCCCCTCTGCCCGGCCACGACCCCGTCTGGGAGGTGTACCCAACAGCTCATTGAGAACAGGCCAAGATGACAATGGCGGTTTTGTGGAATAGAAAGACGGGAAAGGTGGGGAAAAGATTGAGAAATCGGATGGTTGCCGTGTCTGTGTAGAGAGAAGTAGACATGGGAGACTTTTCATTTTGTTCTGTACTAAGAAAAATTCTTCTGCCTTGGGATCCTGTTGATCTGTGACCTTACCCCCAACCCTGTGCTCTCTGAAACATGTGCTGTGTCCACTCAGGGTTAAATGGATTAAGGGCGGTGCAAGATGTGCTTTGTTAAACAGATGCTTGAAGGCAGCATGCTCGTTAAGAGTCATCACCACTCCCTAACCTTAAGTACCCAGGGACACAAACACTGCGAAAGGCCGCAGGGTCCTCTGCCTAGGAAAACCAGAGACCTTTGTTCACTTGTTTATCTGCTGACATTCCCTCCACTATTGTCCTATGACCCTGCCAAATCCCCCTCTGCGAGAAACACCCAAGAATGATCAATAAAATAAATAAATAAATACAAAAAAAAGAAAAAAGAAAAAAAGATTTGCCAGGGGGACAATAAAAAAAAAAAAAAGAGACTTAGACTCCCATACAGTAATAATGGGAGACTTTAACATCCCACTGTCAACATTAGACAGATCAAAGAGACAGAAAGCTAACAAGGATATCCAGGAATCGAACTTAGCTCTGCACCAAGTGGACCTAATAGACATCTACAGAAATCTCCACCCCAAATCAACAGAATATACATTCTTTTCAGCACCACACCACACCTATTCCAAAACTGACCACATAGTTGGAAGTAAAACACTCCTCAGCAAATGTAAAAGAACAGAAATTATAACAAACTGTCTCTCAGACCACAGTGCAATCAAACTAGAACTTAGGATTAAGAAACTCACTCAAAACCACTCAACTACATGGAAACTGAACAACCTGCTCCTGAATGACTACTGGGTACATAACGAAATGAAGGCAGAAATAAAGATGTCCTTTGAAACCAACGAGAACAAAGATACAACATACCAGAATCTCTGGGACACATTCAAAGCAGTGTGTAGAGGGAAATTTATAGCACTAAATGCCCACAAGAGAAAGCAGGAAAGATCTAAAATTGACACCCTAACATCACAATTAAAAGAACTAGAGAAGCAAGAGCAAACACATTCAAAAGCTAGCAGAAGGCAAGAAATAACTAAGATCAGAGCAGAATTGAAGGAAATAGAGATACAAAAAGCCCTTCAAAAAATCAATGAATCCAGGAGCTGGTTTTTTGAAAAGATGAGCAAAATTGATAGACCACTAGTAAGACTAATAAAGAAGAAAAGAGAGAAGACTCAAATAGACATAATAAAAAATGATAAAGGGGATATCACCACCGATCCCACAGAAATACAAACTACCATCAGAGAATACTATAAACACCTCTATGCAAATAAACTAGAAAATCTAGAAGAAATGGATAAATTCCTGGACACATACACCCTCCCAAGACTAAGCCAGGAAGAAGTTGAATCTCTGAATAGACCAATAACAGGCCCTGAAATTGAGGCAATAATTAATAGCTTACCAACCAAAAAAAGTCCAAGACCAGATGGATTCACAGCCGAATTCTACCAGAGGTACAAGGAGGAGCTGGTACCATTCCTTCTGAAACTATTCCCATCAATAGAAAAAGAAGGAATCCTCCCTAACTCATTTTATGAGGCCAGCATCATCCTGATACCAAAGCCTGGCAGAGACACAACAAAAAAAGAGAATTTTAGACCAATATCCCTGATAAACATTGATGCGAAAATCCTCAATAAAATACTGGCAAACCGAATCCAGCAGCACCTCAAAAAGCTTATCGACCATGATCAAGTGTGCTTCATCCCCGGGATGCAAGGCTGCTTCAACATACGCAAATCAATAAACATAATCCAGCATACAAACAGAGCCAACAACAAAAACCACATGATTATCTCAATAGATGCAGAAAAGGCCTTCAGCAAAATTCAACAGCCCTTCATGCTAAAAACTCTTAATAAACTAAGTATTGATGGAATATATATAAAAATAATAAGAGCTATTTATGACAGACCCACAGACAATATCATACTGAATGGGCAAAAACTGGAAGCATTCCATTTGAAAATTGGCACAAGACAAGGGCACCCTCTCTCACTACTCCTATTCAACATAGTGGTGGAAGCTCTGGCCAGGGCAATCAGGCAGGAGAAAGGAATAAACGGTATTCAATTAGGAAAAGAGGAAGTCAAATTGTCCCTATTTGCAAATGACATGATTGAATATTTAGAAAACCCCATCATCTCAGCTCAAAACCTCCTTAAGCTGATAAGCAACTTCAGAAAAGCCTCAGGATACAAAATCAATATGCAAAAATCACAAGCATTCTTATACACCAATAACAGACAAACAGAGAGCCAAATCATGAGTGAACTCCCAGTCACAATTGCTTCAAAGAGAATAAAATACCTAGGAATCCAACTTACAAGGCATGTGAAGGACCTCTTCAAGGAGAACTACAAACCACTGCTCAATGAAATAAAAGAGGATACAAAGAAATGGAAGAACATTCCATGCTCATGGGTAGGAAGAATCAATATCGTGAAAATGGCCATACTGCCCAAGGTAATTTATAGATTCAAGGCCACCCCCATCAAGCTACCAATGACTTTCTTCACAGAATTGGAAAAAACTACCTTAAAGTTCATATGGAACCAAAAAAGAGCCTGCATCGCCAAGTCAATCCTAAGCCAAAAGAGCAAAGCTGGAGGCATCACGCTACCTGACTTCAAACTATACTACAAGGCTACAGTATCCAAAACAGCATGGTACTGGTACCAAAACATAGATATAGACCAATGTAACAGAACAGAGCCCTCAGAAATAATTCCACGTATCTACAACCACCTGATCTTTGACAAACCTGACAAAAACAAGAAATGGGGAAAGGATTCCCTACTTAATAAATGGTGCTGGGAAAACTGGCTAGCCATATGTAGAAAGCTGAAACTGGATCCCTTCCTTACACCTTATACAAAAATTAATTCAAGATGGATTAAAGACTTACGTGTTAGACCTCATACCACAAAAACCCTATAAGAAAACCTAGGCAATACCATTCAGGACATAGGCATGGCCAAGGACTTCAAGTCTAAAACAGCAAAAGCAATGGCAACAAAAGCCAAAATTGACAAATGGGATCTAATTAAACTAAAGAGCTTCTGCACAGCAAAAGAAACTACCATCAGAGTGAACAGGCAACCTACAGAATGGGAGAAAATTTTTGCAGTCTACTCATCGGACAAAGGGCTAATATCCAGAATCTACAATGAACTCAAACAAATTTACAAGAAAAAAACAAACAACTCCATCAACAAGTGGGCAAAGGATACGAACAGACACTTCTCAAAAGGAGACATTTATGCAGCCAACAGACACATGAAAAAATGCTCATCATCACTGGCCATTAGAGAAATGCAAATCAAAACCACAATGAGATACCATCTCACACCAGTTAGAATGGCGATCATTAAAAAGTCAGGAAACAACAGGTGCTGGAGAGGATGTGGAGAAATAGGAACGCTTTTACACTGTTGGTGGGACTGTCAACTAATTCAACCATTGTGGAAGACAGTGTGGTGATTCCTCAAGGATCTAGAACTAGAAATACCATTTGACCCAGCCATCCCATTACTGGGTATATACTCAAAGGATTATAAATCATGCTGCTATAAAGACACAGGCACATGTATGTTTATAGTGGCACTATTCACAATAGCGAAGACTTGGAACCAACCCAAATGTCCAACAATGATAGACTGGATTAAGAAAATGTGGCACATATACACCATGGAATACTATGCAGCCATAAAAAAGGATGAGTTCATGTCCTTTGTAGGGACATGGATGAAGCTGGAAACCATGATTCTCAGCAAACTATCGCAAGGACAAAAAACCAAACACCGCATGTTCTCACTCATAGGTGGGAATTGAACAATGAGGACACTTGGACACAGGAAGGGGAACATCACACACCGGGGCCTGTTGTGGGGTGAGGGGAGTGGGGAGGGATAGCATTAGGAGATATACCTAATGTTAAATGACGAGTTAGTGGGTGCAGCACACCAACATGGCACATGTACACATATGTAACAAACCTGCACGTTTTGCACATGTACCCTAAAACTTAAAGTGCAATAAAAAAAAAAGAAATTTACCATGACCCTTTCAATTTACCTTATCAAGTAGACTGAGCAGGACCTTTGTAGTCTCAATTTGAGTATTAACTGGCTTTTCACAGCTCCTTCTTCAGAAGAAACAAAGATTCATAGACTAGCTTCTAGTCCATGAATCACAAATTAAGAGATTCTGAAGAATAAGGGAACTTACTTGCTTGCAAAATGATTTAAAGCAACTGGTCTGAATTGATGAGATTATACTGTATTTTTTAACACGAGGGAATTAAGTCAAACAATGAAGAATAAAGTTTTTATAATCAGCTTTACTCTCTAAAAATAATGGGAGGATGAGCTCTGTGAATAAAACAAATATTGGAATTTAGCAAAGTGGGGCAGATGCAATAATGATCGCTAATATAGGCAAAATATGTGAAATCCGAGTCCACATTTTTTTCACACCCCAGATACACGGGTCTCTCCAGAAGCTCTTCCTCCCTGCTTCTTGCATGTATTCCAGAGCTACAGAAAGACAGTCCCTGCTCGTTATTTTAGCTCAGTCGCCCTTCCTTTCCCATAGAGTAGGAAAATTTTCCAAACTCTCTCTCGTGATTTCATGTCACTTTCTTTCTTCCTCAACCGATGGACTGCAAGGAAGTCAGGATAATTTGTTTCTGTCTCCTCTGCATCCCCAGGACATAACACAAGCCCATTAAAAAGGCAGACATGCGGCAGCAGCTTTAGGAGAGCAATGGAAAGTTTCCATTAAACGTGTAGAGAGAGTCCTGTAAAGTAACAGGTACAGGATCCTTAGAAACCATCTCATTAAACTATGTACTAGGAGCATTAACCAGAGGATTCAGAGCCTCAACAGTTTCTGCCAATATCACTGTTCTCTCATGCATTTCACAGCTCCAGATCCCAGCGCTGCTCCCCAGGTTGCTGTCCTCCTGTGACCTGTGGCCCTGCTTCCTTCTGGGTCCCAGTTGGTCAGCTTTTTAAAAACTTTGGGCCATTTGGTATTGACTTCAGACTCCCCCCTTCACTCTCAGCACAAACCAAACTCACAATTTACTCCATATAGTTATGGGATTTAAAGCAGGAATCTCCTGCCAAGGAGGCGTCTGATTATCTGAGATATCTCAGAATAATCTCAAAATATCCTAGGCCTTCCAGCATTTCTCCCATATCTCTGTGGTCCTTTCCTTGTTTTGATGTTCATTATTCTAGGCCATTAAATCTCCATCAGCTTGTCCTAGTTTTGTCCTCTATTACAGAAAATCAAAATGTGTAGAAACCCATATACAGCTGGGATTGCAGCTTGGGGCTGGCACTCTGAGAGCCCTTGGCATAGCTAGATGCTGATGAAGTAGCCTTCCAGAGGTGTCCTCACACCTCCCAGAGGTGTACTAAGGAGATTCCTAGCAGAGAACTGATCTTGAGAACAAAGTCAGAATTCTCAAGCTGAGTACGCAGACAGTGGGCATTGCCAGAAACGGGAAAAAGAATCCGACTACAATGCAATGTCTGTCTCTTCAATTATTCATCACAGCCCCGATTGACATAAAGCATCCCAGGACGAAATGACTGCCAGGAATATCCAACAGAGAACTGGAAGAGCAGTTTGCTAAAAAAGCAAAGGATGTCTGCAGAATTGATTGTAGCAGGTTTGGCAATGACATGAGGAAGTACCCTCAGTGTAGACATGAACCCCTTGGCATCTGGCATAGGCAGCTTCTTTGAATGATGGCAGCAGCACCTCCAATGACAATTGGTGGCACAGACGCTGACCTGGCAATGCAGCAATGGGAAGTATTACCACAGCAAGCCAGAGCAGCAAAGGGAGAATTGGGAATGATGTAGGACAGCCAAGGAAACTTTGTGAAACACATGAGAATCCCAGGGATACATAACTGATTCCTGCTGTAACATCTCTTGGACAGGTGAAACTGGCCTCTTTAGAGAAGTTTCTTCTTTGTTCCTGTATTTTTTATTAGGTTGGTGCAAAAGTAATTGTGGTTTTGCTACTTTTATTTATTTATTTTTAATTATTATACTTTAAGTTCTAGGGTATGTGTGCACAACGTGCAGGTTACGTATGTATACATGTACCATGTTGCTGTGCTGCACCCATCAGCTCATCATTTACATTAGGTATTTCTCCTAATGCTATCCCTCTCCCAGCCCCCCACCCCCCGACAGGCTCCAGTGTGTGATGTTCCCCGCCCTGTGTCCAAGAGTTCTCATTGTTCGATTCCCACCTTTGAGTGAGAAAACATGGTGTTTGGTTTTCTGTCCTTGTGATACTTTGCTGAGAATGATGGTTTCCAGCTTCATCCATGTCCCTACAAAGGACATGAACTCATCCTTTTTTATGGCTGCATAGTATTCCATGGTGTATATGTGCCACATTTTCTTAATCCAGTCTATCATTGTTGGACATTTGGGTTGGTTCCAAGTCTTTGCTATTGTGAATAGTGCCACAATAAACATACGTGTGCATGTGTCTTTATACTAGCTTGATTTATAATCCTTTGGTGTATACCTAGTAATGGGATGGCTGGGTCAAATGGTATTTCTAGTTCTAGATCCTTGAGGAATCGCCAGTCTGTCTTCCACAATGGTTGAACTAGTTGACAGTCCCACCAACAGTGTAAAAGTGTTCCTATTTCTCCACATCCTCTCCAGCATCTGTTGTTTCCTGACTTTTTAATGATCGCCATTCTAACTGGCGTGAGATGGTATCTCATTGTGGTTTTGATTTGCATTTCTCTGATGGCCAGTGATGATGAGCATTTTTTCATGTGTCTGTTGGCTGCATAAATGTCTCCTTTTGAGAAGTATCTGTTCCTATCCTTTGCCCACTTTTTGATGGGTTTTTTTTTTCTTGTAAATTTGTTTAAGTTATTTGTAGATTCTGGATATTAGCCCTTTGTCATATGGGTAGATTGCAAAAATTTTCTCCCATTCTGTAGGTTGCCTGTTCACTCTGATGGTAGTTTCTTTTGCTGTGCAGAAGCTCTTTAGCTTAATTAGATCCCATTTGTCAATTTTGGCTTTTGTTGCCATTGCTTTTGGTGTTTTAGACTTGAAGTCCTTGGCCATGCCTATGTCCTGAATGGTATTGCCTAGGTTTTCTTATAGGGTTTTTGTGGTATGAGGTCTAACACGTAAGTCTTTAATCCATCTTGAATTAATTTTTGTATAAGGTACAAGGAAGGGATCCAGTTTCAGCTTTCTACATATGGCTAGCCAGTTTTCCCAGCACCATTTATTAAGTAGGGAATCCTTTCCCCATTTCTTGTTTTTGTCAGGTTTGTCAAAGCTCAGATGGTTGTAGATGTGTGGTGTTATTTCTGAGGCCTCTGTTCTGTTCCATTGGTTTATGTCTCTGTTTTGGTACCAGTACCATGCTGTTTTGGTTACTGTAGCCTTGTAGTATAGTTTGAAGTCAGGTAGCATGATGCCTCCAGCTTTGTTCTTTTGGCTTAGATTGTCTTGGCAATGCGGGCTCTTTTTTGGTTCCCTATGAACTTTAAAGTATTCTCCAATTCTGTGAAGAAAGTCATTGGTAGTTTGATGGGGATGGCATTGAATCTATAAATTACCTTGGGCAGTATGGCCATTTTCATGATATTGATTCTTCCTACCCATGAGCATGGAATGTTCTTCCATTTCTTTGTATCCTCTTTTATTTCATTGAGCAGTGGTTTGTAGTTCTCCTTGAAGAGGTCCTTCACATGCCTTGTAAGTTGGATTCCTAGGTATTTTATTCTCTTTGAAGCAATTGTGACTGGGAGTTCACTCATGATTTGGCTCTCTGTTTGTCTGTTATTGGTGTATAAGAATGCTTGTGATTTTTGCATATTGATTTTGTATCCTGAGGCTTTTCTGAAGTTGCTTATCAGCTTAAGGAGGTTTTGAGCTGAGATGATGGGGTTTTCTAAATATTCAATCATGTCATTTGCAAATAGGGACAATTTGACTTCCTCTTTTCCTAATTGAATACTCTTTATTCCTTTCTCCTGCCTGATTGCCCTAGCCAGAGCTTCCACCACTATGTTGAATAGGAGTGGTGAGAGAGGGCGCCCTTGTCTTGTGCCAGTTTTCAAAGGGAATGCTTCCAGTTTTTGCCCATTCAGTATGATATTGGCTGTGGGTTTGTCATAAATAGCTCTTATTATTTTTTTATATATTCCATCAATACTTAGTTTATTAAGAGTTTTTAGCATGAAGGGCTGTTGAATTTTGCTGAAGGCCTTTTCTGCATCGAGATAATCATGTGGTTTTGTCATTGGATCTGTTTATGTGATGGATTACATTTATTGATTTGCGTATCCTTGAACCACCCTTGCATCCCAGGGATGAAGCCGACTTGATCGTGGTAGACAAGCTTTTCGATGTGCTACTAGATTTGGTTTGCCAGTATTTTATTGAGGATTTTTGCATCCATGTTCATCAGGGATATTGGTCTAAAATTCTCTTTTTTTATTGTGTCTCTGCCAGGCTTGGGTATCAGGATGATGCTGACCTCATAAAATGAGTTAGGGAGGATTCCCTCTTTTTCTATTCATTGGAATAGTTGCAGAAGGAATGGTACCAGCTCCTCTTTGTACCTCTGGTAGAATTCGGCTGTGAATCCATCTGGTCCTGAACTTTTTTTGGTTGGTAGGCTATTAATTATTGCCTCAATTTCACAGCCTGTTATTGGTCTATTCAGAGATTCAACTTCTTCCTGGTTTAGTCATGGGAGGGTGTATGTGTCCAGGAATTTATCCATTTCTTCTAGATTTTCTAGTTTATTTGCATAGAGGTGTTTATAGTATTCTCTGATGGTAGTTTGTATTTCTGTGGGATCGGTGGTGATATCCCCTTTATCATTTTTTATTATGTCTATTTGAGTCTTCTCTCCTTTCTTCTTTATTAGTCTTGCTAGTGGTCTATCAATTTTGCTGCTCTTTTCGAAAAACCAGCTCCTGGAGTCATTGATTTTTTTGAAGGGTTTTTTGTGTCTCTATCTCCTTCAGTTCTGCTCTGATCTTAGTTATTTCTTGCCTTCTGCTAGCTTTTGAATGTGTTTGCTCTTGCTTCTCTAGTTCTTTTAATTGTGATGTTAGGGTGTCAATTTTAGATCTTTCCTGCTTTCTCTTGTGGGCATTTAGTGCTATAAATTTTCATCTGCACACTGCTTTAAATGTGTCCCAGAGATTCTGGTACACTGTGTCTTTGTTCTCATTGGTTTCAAAGGACATCTTCATTTCTGCCTTCATTTCGTTATGTACCCAGTAGTCATTCAGGAGCACGTTGTTCAGTTTCCATGTAGTTGTCCGGTTTTGAGTGAGTTTCTTAATCCTGAGTTCTAATTTGATTGCACTGTGGTCTGAGAGACGATTTGTTGTGATTTCTGTTCTTTTACATTTGCTGAGGAGTGCTTTACTTCCAATTATGTGTTCAATTTTAGAATAAGTGCAATGTGGTGCTGAGAAGAATGTATACTCTATTGACTTGGCATGGAGAGTTCTGTAGATGTCTATTAGGTCCACTTGGTGCAGAGCTGAGCTCAAGTCCTGGATATCTTTGTTAACCTTCTGTCTCATTGATCTAATATTGACAGTGGGATGTTAAGGTCTCCCATTATTATTGTGTGGAAGTCTAAGTCTCTTTGCCGGTCTCTAAGGACTTGCTTTATGTATCTGGGTTCTCCTGTATTGGGTGCATATATATTTAGGATAGTTAGCTCTTCTTTCTCCTTGTTGAATTGACCCCTTTCCATTATGTAATGCCCTTCTTTGTCTTTTTTGATCTTTAATGGCAAAAACTGCAATTACATTTGCACCAACCTAATAGCTATAAAAGGCTTTCCAATGATTTCAAAACTAAAATTACAGTTTTTGTCAGTAAAGACCAACAATGCATCAGCCACATGCTTGTCTCAAAACTTAATCTTTTTAATATTATGCTGACCATTTGATTAACTTTAATTTGAAAGGTGTATTAGTCAGCTATCACTGCACTAGTGCTGTGTAACAAACCACTGCAAAACTTAAGTGCTTGCAACATGCATTTATATTTTTTCTTGCTCATGAGACAATTGGCCACCTAGCGCAACTCTGTTTTTGGCCATGAGTCAACTGGACATGGCTCTAGGCTTTTTATTGAGTTCTGTTATATCCCACTTGTCTCCACATTCTCTTTGGACCAGCAGCTATCTGGGTCATGTTCTTCTAACGATGGATCACAGGAGTGCAAGAGGCCAAGTCAAACTACTGAAGTATGTTGATTTTGGATCCTGAAATTTTATTGAATTCATTTATCAAATCTAGGAGTCTTTTCAAGGAGTCTTTTGGGTTTTCTAGGTAGTAGATCATAACATAACATGATATATTTATGTTAAAAAATTCTATAAATAGTGACAGAGAGAAGCAAAAAAAAAAGTCCTACTCAAGCACATTTAAGCTCTCACACCAAGTTCATTAAAATTGTATTGGCCAAGCCAAGTCACATGGTCAAGCCCAACCTTTATAGGGCAAAGAAATAAACTCTCCCCATTCCAGCTCACAGAAGGCTACTTGCCAGGATAAGAGAGTGAAGAAATTAGTATAAGATAATCTGCTGCACAACATCTCATTAACATTTACTACTTCAATGGAAATAGAAACAATTGTTTTCATTACTCCTTTTTTCTAAAGCACTGCTTGCTAACTTGGCCATTGATTTATTCATTTAAAGTGCCTTGCTTGGCATAGACTCACTTAATAAATTAAGCTTTGTTAAATAAATACAAGTATTAGAGAAAACTATCACTGATTTTATTTTTTCCAGTGTTTCTTTGCTTCCTCTTATTTGGTTTTCTTATTTCAAAAATGCCCTGCTTTCTGTCTCTGGCTTATATTACTTAATGTCCTCCATGTTTACCCGTGTTGTAACAAAAGATTTCTACAATAAAGGATTTTGTTCTTTTTTTTTTTTTTTTTTTTTTTGAGATGGAGTCTCACTCTGTCACCCAGGCTGGAGTGCAATGGCCCAATCTCGGCTCACTGCAACCTCTGCCTCCTGGGTTCAAGCAATTCTCCTGCCTCACCCTCCCGAGTAGCTGGGACTACAGGCATGTGCCACCAAGCCCAGCTAATTTTTGTATTTTTAGTAGAGACTGGGTTTTACCATGTTGGCCAGGATAGTCTCGATCTCTTGACCTCATGATCTGCCTGCCTTGGCCCCCCAAAGTGCTGGGATTACCGGCGTGAGCCACCGAACCCCGCCACCACATTTTCTTTATTCACCCATCCACTGATGGACGCGTATGTTGACCCCATTTCTTGGCTATGGTGAATAGTACTACAATAAACACAGGAGTGCAAACATCTCTTTAACATACTGATTTCCTTTTCTTTGGATATATACCCAGTAGTGGGATAGGTAGGGTAGGAGAAGAGAAATGGGGAATAATACTAATGGTTATGGAATTACTGTTTTGGGTGATGAAAATGGTCTAAAATTGCTTATGGTAATGATTGTACAACTCTGAACACACTAAAAACCATTGAATGTTGATTTAAAAGGGCAAATTGTATGATATATGACTTATATCTCAATAAAGCTTTTTTTAATTAAAAAAATGCCTTGCTTTATTTCCAAACTCCAACCTAACTTTTCTCATACTACCTTGGAGAAAGAATAGTTTATTTTTAAATAACACTAGTTCCAACTAACCCTAAATTGCATTCAAGGTCAAATTCCAATGGGTCATGTTTCTGCTTCTCAAATCCATTATTCCTTTGTACTTGTTAATATTAGGAGAAGTCTCTCAAAACAGGCTTCCTTTATCGTAGCTGACTCCCTGCTCTCATCATACAGAAGCCAAGTGGCATTGGTGATACTGCTAAATGGGCTATCCAGAGCTAGTGACTCTAGGAAACCTATGGGGAGACAATAGGCCCAGTAATGGCTAGAGACTGGTGCCATCTCCACCGGGAAAACAATGGGAATAGCAGAGAAGCAGAGCGTCCACAACGCAAGTGCATTTATCCTCCCTCGATAGCTGCCTGGTCTCTCCCTTGTGGGAAAGAAAATAGATTAAGTAAAAGACAGAAAATCTATATCCACTATTTTTCTAAGTGGCTTATTATAGCCACATGGTATGTCTGTATTTATTAGCAGCCTTCACCTCTTGTCCTACTAGCGTCACACCATGACAGTGTTTGCATTTGCTCACTGCGCGTGGATTCGGAGATGATTGCTTCTGACTTGTTTGAGTGCAGAGAGGAACTAATTTGATTAGACAGAAAGCTGGAGCTGCCACAGCTGCCGTGGGAAGGAGCTGTCACCTATCCACTCCGTTGCATTCAAGTGTGCCAATTGTTCTCTGAAAGAAGGCCCAGTGATGCTGTCAGATGTCTTGGTCCTAAATACAACTGAACACAATGAAACAGTGATCACGCTAAGTGTGTTCTTTCTGTTATGCAATTTCCCAAGGTATGGAACTTATTTACCCTGGGATCCTAAAAGCTAAAAACTAAATAAATAAAAATTAAATTAAAGGAAGTGGGATTGGAGGGGGAAGGAGTAAAAGCCAAAAGAGATTAAATATTTAGATACGACTTTACCCATGCATGACACAAAAGCAGGCAAGGCCCAGCCCCTGCCCATTGGACACTGGATACTGGTTGACATTTTAATACCCGTTTTCCTTCCAGACCAAGCTGTCTCCCTTCAGTTTACAAGGCTCCCCAATTCAGCCTTCTTCTCTATCCTGCCCTCAAAGAGGTATTCAATTCATTAGCCTGAAAAGATAAGAGGTCAGAGAGGTTCACAAATGCTAAACACACACACACAGAGGCTGGGGAGTGGCCGAGGGGTCTTTGCATCTGGCAAAAGAGCAGGTGAGGAAAACAGATCTTGGTTCTAAATGTGTAGAACTAAGAGAGTCTTTTTATGGGAAATCAGATCACGTGTAATCTTCACTTCTTGACTTCCACAATGTATATGCCCCAGTGCTGTTCCTAGGCCAATTTGTGACGCACACCAGCGTGCACTGGCTTTAGTGAGGTTTTGTAATCATCTGTTTGAAATAGACTTTCCTCGTCCAGTCATTTCCCAAGCTATAACGGCAGCCAATGGCTGACTTTTCCTGCTCCTTGAAGATAGCTCTGGTTCCCTTAATATCTGACTGCACCACCCCTTTCTCATTCGTTGCCAGTGAAAGAAATATCATGTCACTGCGGAAGGTAACCAAGGAGTGATGGGCTGACCTTTCGGCAGGCACTTCCCAATAGTGCAGGGGTTTTAAAGTGTGACAAGAAAGCATCTAATTAGGAAGTCTGGAATGCATGTGTCTTCACAAGCACAGCTACACTTCTGAACCCTCTGTGACCACAGACTAAAAGAAAAATAGGTCCAAATCCACGCTACAGCAATAAAAATAAAGGAAGGGAGGAGAAGGGCAAGACCTCCACCAGGAAACAGTATAATTATTGCATCTTGTCTAAGAAGTTCCAAAATTCCTTATTTTCTACAATTTAACTTAATTTCAATGATGAGCTCCCATCTTTCTGAAATGGTATGAAACACAAGTCAACGTCAGCCATTCTTGTTCACCTCTGCCCAGGATCACTTCACAGTTCTGTGATCTGGCGCGGGGCCTCGGCACGAGACAGCCAGCATCTGTTCAGGTGGCTCCCTCCGGAGATGTCCACTGCTCCTGCCGGCACAAAATAGTCATTATAATGGCAGCCGGTGGCTGACTTTTCTTGCCCCTTAATGATGGCTCAAGTTCCCCTAACATGGACCTGCTCCTGTGTCATGTCTGGGCACAGAAGTCTGTGACAAGAATGGCAAGCCCGCACCTTTGGTGTTTCCTCCTCCTCCTCTTCTCGGAAGGCAGAGTCCAGTCACAGTGCCGGCCTTTCCCCTTGTCTCAGGACTCCAGCTCTCTCTATCTCCTGCTTTTCCAAGCATATTTGTATCCATTAAACCCTAGCCTCTCTATGCCTATTCTTTCACAGTAGACTCTGATGGCTCATCAACCCTGGAACTAGAAAAAAAAAATCTAGGCTATTTTTTCTCCAAATCAGAAAGGCCTCAGGGTTCAGGCCACCTCATGAGGCAAAAGGAAATGTTTGCATTCCATTTTTCCAATGCCTCAAAGACAAGGGAGGGGGACATCCAAAAATGTCCATACTACCACATTATAAACATTTATATCTACCATATATTATTTCAATAAGTCTAATAGATCTCCTCTACAAAAACAAAGGTTTGGGGGTTGGTACTTTTGTTTCTGTCTACTGCAAAGACAACCCACAATGACTGGCAGCAGAGTATAAGCCTTTGCTTTTTTGTTTGTTTTGTTTTGTTTTTTTGAGTTGGAGTCTTGCTCTGTTGCCAGGCTGGAGTGCAATGGCACGATCTCAGATCATTGCAACCACTACCTCCCGGGTTCAAGTGGTTCTCCTGCCTCAGCCTCCCGAGTAGCTGGGACTACAGGTGTGTGCCACCACACCCAGCTGGTTTTTTGTGTTTTTAGTAGAGACAGGTTTTCACCATGTTGGCCAGGCTGGTCTTGAACTCCTGACCTCAGGTGATCCACCTGCCTCGGCATCCCAAAGTGCTGGGATTACAGACGTGAGCCACCATGCCCAGTCCAGTGTATAAGCCTTTTCAAAAGACAGTGCTCTCACAGCTCGAGGGCCAGACCAGGACTGTGCCAGGAGCCTGCTGACCACCTGGCAGCATCGAGCCCTGGCCACCTGACTTCAGCTTCTCTCCGCTGCCTGTGTTCTACCCCCTTGCCCATGTTCTACCCCCTGCCTGAGTTCTCCCCACTGCCCAGGTTCTCCCCCATGCCCCGGTTCTCCCCACTGCCCCGGTTCTCCCCGCTTCCTGGGTTCTCCCCACTTCCTGGGTTCTCCCCACTTCCTGGGTTCTCCCCGCTTCCTGGGTTCTCCCCGCTGCCTGGTTTCTCCCTGCTGCTCAGGCTGTCCCCACTGCTTGGGTTCCCCTCCTGCTCGGGTTCTCCCCCTGCCCAGGATCTCCCTCCTGCTCAGGTTCCCCCCGATGCTGAGGTTCTCCCTGTTGCCATATTCTGCCTGTGGATTTGGCTGTCTCTGATATTAGCACCTACCTGGATCATAGCTCAGTTTGCCAATACATCAAATGCTGTTCACCAGATTGCCTAACTGTGCATAATGGGATTAGACTTGCAACTGGGTTGGTCTCCCCATCCCCATTCTACTCCACACCAGCCAGGTTGCTGAGGTCTCAGACCCAAGACCTGTGCTCTAGGTTACCCAGTTATTGCCACATGCAGACACCATGCATAGTAACCCACCAGAGGTCCCTGAGTTTCTCACTGACTGGCTTTGAGCTGGAGGTCAAAAACAGATTTTGTTTGTTCTAAGATTGTGCTGAATTGAATTGAATTGAACTGGATTGAATTGAAGACTCCTGGTTTCAATCTTAGAGGCCCTGGGCTATTTGTCAGTGGGGTTAAAATCAGGTGATTCAGGATAAATAGAAGACAGAAGGACTTGGTAACTACACATTTCCACATCATTGCAATACTTCTGGTCCCCTTACTAAAGCCGCTGTAAGGAAAGTTGCAGCTCACATTTCATCCTCTTCCCTCTCCATTTACTTATTCTGTGTCATATTTCATGACAGTCAGCAAGCTGCAAGTTCACTAACCTGAAAAACTAATTAGTTTCTCAACTAAGCTGTTAGAGGGCAAAAGTGTAACTGAGGTCACCACACTCAGATTAGCATGCCTTCCGGAGCCAGGGTGATGTAAGTGAAATGGGATAGAAGAAAATCTCTGAAGCACCTTGTACAGGTGGGGTGCAACTCAGTGTCCTCAACATCAACCTTACAGGACACCAGGTCTGGACACAAAGGTGCCCATCTGCTGCGATGGTATGTTTGACTTCCCCTCCCCTCACTTCCCCTACTAGAGAATCTCTGCCCAAGTCAACAGGGGCTCCGTGGGAAGCACCAGGGGCATTTGCAGAGGAAACAGTGTTGCTACTAATCTCATGAATGGCGCTGTGAGTGCAGGAATGTGACCACCTGTCTTCCCAGAAGGACCAGCCTTATAAGGAAGAACAAGGGGTGACTGACAATTATATTTCATTTATCGAAAAGCCAGTCAGCAAGAATCTTGTGATCAAAATATTGATTTTTATCATTTTTCAACAAATACTGAGAAAATTTTGGAGAAAACAAAAATTTCTCCTACTGTGAAACCTAAAGAGTGGTAGTTCCACTCTCCCACCCCATGCTCACTTTCCCTACTCCTTCTTCATTCATTCCTTCTCTTATACACACACACACACGCACAAACATGCACACACTTCTACACTCACACACTCTCACACATACACACACTCACATACACATACACTCACACACACACAAACACACAGACACACGCACACACACACGCACACAAAGGTACTGCTTCCACACAGTGGACTTATCAAGACATATTCTCAACTAAGATCAGTCTTTTTCATTAAAGGAATTTTCCTGCAAATACTGAAAACATAGCATCTTCTAATACATATATATGCACCTCTGAAATGCACTTCTGAAAAATGCACCTCTGAAAATGATGCAGAGGTGCATTTTCAGAGGTGCATTTTAGGAAGATGCTCTCGCTCCAATTCTGAGGACAGGATCTGTTGGATGAGTCTGGAGAGAGAAAGACAGATTAATCGCCCTCAGGAATAATCCAAGAGGAGACAGTGATGGTGTTAGGAAAGGAACATGCATTTTCCCTGGCCTCACGAACCTGCAGGTCCACTGAAGATCATATGAGCATTTACACCCACGGTCCATGGCACTACTTAGATTATGTGAGAGCTCAGCAATGTCGGAGCTCTCTGGTCAACCTGCACAAGTATTTCGGGTAGTTCTCAGGGTATCTCATACATTTGATTCTCAAACAAGCCCCAGTCCTGCAACTCTCAGGTCAAGCCAAGTGTATGGTTACGGGTGTTTCAAAGGATGTGTCATCATCCAGACTGCCAAAGCCTGGAGCTACCGGAACTGCCACGTGTTTTGATTTCTGCCCAGGGCCATTCTCTCCACGTTCAGTGCATGACGGAGAAAATGCCTCACATTCATGAGTAAAGAAGCCAGACACTCTGCCATCTTGACCTCTCTCTTTGTCTTGTCATTTGTCTGGTCTCAGAGAAATAAAATGCTTCTTTTTCACAGGCCCTCTACTGCCTTGCCAGTTATTTCTTGCAAGATGAGTAATCTCTTTCTGCTTCTAAATATCCAGTATCAGTGAATACTGACTTTTGCAATACCCACAATATTATAGCTGAATGTCCTTAAGACCCAAAGAAATATTTTCGTTACAATAATACATGCATATAATGAAAATTCAAACAGGAGAGAAAAGTTAAAGGATCAATATCCTCTGCCATAGACCCCACTTTCCCATCTGCCTTCCATATTTTAAAAGTAATTGCTCAAATAATTACTATTTGATATTACAAAGATTATGTACCATTAGACTGCCTCTGGCATAATCTTTACAATGCTACCTAATAATAGTGAACATTTATTACATATTTTATGTGTATTACATAACACATGCATTTATATACAGTAGTATATTAGTCCTCACAAAAACCCCGTAAGGTGGCACAATAATCATTGGGTAGGGTAGGACTCGAACGCAGGAAGTCTGGCTCCAGAGTCTGTCTGGAACCACTTTGTCTACAGCCTCTCAATATGTGGCCATCATATACTTATGATTTATGCATTTTAGTAACATCTGTTTACTCCCCACTACTCCTCATTTTCCCCTTCCTGTTCCTTCTAATTTTTACATCTTATTAGTTTCAATTCTATCACTGATTATTTATAGAGCTTTAAAAAACACTTAAACTTCTATTTTGGGGCCCTCAATTTGATTGTCTCTTGATTCTCTGTTATATAAAATAAGAAACTCAGTGCCTGTACAGGCTCTTCCAGCTCCCTTCATTCATTTTACTTCCCAAAAACATACAGTGTTATAACTATATTTAGTGTAAAGATTAACAACTGGAGATACAAAATAATGTGTAAATATTAAATCTCTCAGGCTTTCTCTGTAAATTGTTTCCAATTATGAAAAATCAACACAGCATTATTTATAATATTGATTATATTATTTATAATATTGATAGTGCAAAGACTGGCTACCATAGAATCAAGTAGTTAAACTGGCCTTATCAAGGAGGAAATGTAATCTGTGCTATTAAAAGTGTCATACAAAATAAATTGTTCCAAAAACACAGATAAAAGAGATTTTATTTTCTTACACCCACAACGTGCTCAAAATCTTGCTATGTTTTAGTTTGCTTTAACCTAGGCTCTAACTTCCTTAGAAAGCTGTTATTTTTTTTCTAGGATTTTTGGTACAAAAGAAGATATGACATCACCATTCCATAGATCACCGCTTTCCTAACCAAACTCTTTGCTTCACTCTTTTACCTTTTCCCTCCAAATCCCTTGTCTTCCTGCTCTAATCTGGACTAGGCATCTTCTAGGTCCACTTCACTCCCCTGTTCCTGGGACCTCTCTCCCTCTGCAGACCTCAGTTAGATTTACTGTTGTATCACTTGGCATTTTGCATGAGCACACTCTTGGTCGGTTGGTTTGTTTCCCAGAGGACAAAGTGAGAAATAACTTTTCCGAATCTTTACATATGGGAAATGCTTTATTTTGCCTTATCACTGGCTGTTTTGACTGGTAAAGAATTCTGTATTTTAAATCATTTCCCCTAGGTTTAAAAGTATTTGTCTCAAGTTACAGCTAGACGTGAGGCATAAATTCTAGTGTTCTGTAGCACTGTATGGGGAATATGATTAATAATAATTTAATGGATATTTCCAAAAAGCTAGAAGAGAGGATTTTGAATGTTCACAACACAAAGAAATGGTAAGTGTTCAAGGTGAAGGGTATGCTAACTACCTTAATTAGATCATTACACACTATATACATGTATCAAAATATCACTCTGTATCTCATAAATCAGTACAATTATTATGAGTCAACTAAAATTTTTTTAAAAAGAATGTTCACAGCCAAGAGCAGAGGCCAGAAACCAATAGCCTATGGGCCAAATGTGGCCCTCTGTTGTAAATAAAGTTGTATTGTATCAAAAAAAAGTGTGCACTCCAGCCTGGGTAAGAGAGCAAGACTCCGTCTCAAAAAAAAAAAAAAAAAAAAAGTACTTGTCTCATTTCTTCACAACAGTTCTGATAATCATATTCTTATTCTTTGCAGAAAATGGTGTGTGTGCTTAATTTGATTCTCTCTGGAGCTTTTAGGATGTTTTATTTGTGCCTGGTTTCTTACATTTTAATTATGATATATCTAGCTATCAGATTCCTTTCCATTCACATTGTCAGCATCCTGGGTCCTTTTAATAGAAGCCTTTCACCTTTTCTCAATGTAGGGAAGTTTTACTGTTTTACATTTCCTCTCCTATATTCATTCTCTTCTCTCTTTCTTGAACTCCCATTATATGATTGATCCCATGGATTAGTTTACCAGGACCTTGACTTTGCTATCATATCCTCCATCTCTCAGCCTTTTCTGCTCTATGCTCTGAAAATTGTTCATCACATTTTCTTTCACCTCTTGCTCTGAATTGCTCATTTTGGCAATCATATTTATACAAGACAAGACATTTTTCCTTTTTCATAGGGAGTCTTTTGTGCCAAATGCAATATTTTCTCAAAGCAAATTCAGGCAATAGAAAACATTTAAAAACATATTGTTGATAGTGTCCTCCAAAAGATTAATTTTTGCCCGTAGTTAATTGTTCTCTGAGTAAAATAAACATCACAAAAGAAATGAAGATTGTCTGTTCATATGTATTAACTACTGATCTGATCAGTTAGTGCTACAGTTTGAATGTTTGTCCTCCACCAAAACCTCACATTAAAATTTTGACTCTCAGTGTTGGTCGTGGGTCTTAATAACAGGTGTTTGGGTCATGAGGGTGGATCACTCATCAATGTCTTGGTGCTTTCCAAGTAATTAGTGGGTTCTCACTCATTAGTTCTTGCAAGAGCTTGTTGTTAAAAAGAGCCTGGCACCTTCCCCTCTGCGTCCTCTCTCACCATGTGATCTCTGTACATGCTGCTTCCTCTTCATCTTCTACTGTGATTGTGAGCTTCCTGAGGCCCTCACCTGAAGCAGAAGCTGGTGCCATGCTTCTTGTACAGCCTGCAGAACCATGAGCCAAATAAACCTCTTTTCCTTATAAATTACCCAGCCTCAGATGTTCCTTTATAGCAACACTAAATGACTAAGACAGTTCATATAGGTAACCGGAGCGGATTCCATCTGCTACTGATCCTTGCCTTAATGAGAGTGACTGAGCTTTGTGTGTTACCGGCGAGGTGTGTTATATGGCAGGTTCCACTTTAGGGCACCAGGCAATTAGGACAATCTCACTGTCAATGGCAAAATAAGGACACTTTACATTGAGATGCCAACACCCATCCTAGGAACTCTAGGAAGAGGTCCCACGTCTTCAGAAATGGTGTCACTGGTTTGTGCCTGGGTCTAAGTGCTTACTACCAGGTCTCAATGGGTTTGGGGTAAGTCAGTGGCACAGCTGCTCTGCAGGAGGAAGTCTAACTATTCAGTGTGAATTTCCCCTTCCCCACTCACCTCTATAGACCTGTTGATTCCATGCTTGTAACGTGCCCAGAGTCCTCCCAGCGAGACCAGCTCCCTCCTTCCCTGTGGCTTTCTCCAGCTTGCTCATACTGGAGCTTCCTTGGCTTTGTTTACCTACAAGTAGGATCCCATCCTCTTCCCATCTTTAAGGAATTTCCCAAAATTTCTGATCTTCTGATAAGGCTCTCATTAGAAGTTATTTTTGTACTTCTTTATGGTAACTTTAAAGTGATTTTGATGGAGAAGGGAGATAAAGACGTGAACTCAAGTGGCCATCATGAATAAGAAACACTAAAGAACACTTGAGGTTGAGATGTCAACACCTGCCCTAGGAACTCTAGGAAGTTCAAGTTCATACAAAAATGCAAACATATCTTGGAGTTATAACCACTTGCAGCCTTTTTCTGCTGGTATCTTAGTTAACACTGGGGCAGGTAATGAATGAATAACACACAGGACACAACCTTTTCCAGGCATTGGGCATTGAGAGAAAAAGGAAGACAGTGGTCTCTGGAGAAAAGAAAGCAAATAAGGACCTTGGCTAAGATCAGATTTACTCCTCTATTGATGGATATTGGGTTATTTCCACTTTTTTGGCCATTGTGAATAGTTCTGCTATGAACATTCACATACAAGTGTTGTCTGAATAAATATTTTCAGTAAATTTGGTCACATACCTAGGAGTGGGAATTCTTGGTCATATAGAAGTTAAGAAAATAGCTCATCGGTGTGGAGAAAACTGGCAGAAACTCAAATCACAGAACCAACCTCTCTGTCCTTTCCTTTTTATATCCCTCATCTACAAAATGGGTAGGATGTAAGAATAAAATGAAATTCTATATATCAAAATGTTTTTAAAAGTAACAATGGCGTTATAGATGTATATGTTTCACAAGGTCCATTTTGTCAAATCTGTCCCTTTAACTAAAACCCTTAAGTGTCAGTCCCATTGGAACACTACAGAGAATGTCACTCAGATAAAATCTTAGTCCTTTCAACAACTATAGGAGTAGGTTTAGAATAATTAGGTTAACCAAAAAGCTTGAAAGATTGAGCTGCTCTGTGCTACAGTTCACGTTCTTTAAGAGAAGAATAGTGCCATATAGGGTAAGACAATTAAAATTACTGCCTATATAGGCTAAGACAATTAAAATTACTGCCCTCATTCAGACCCCATGACTTTGGGAAGAAAAGGCAAGCAGAGGCTAATAGATGTCTGTAGAGGACTTTCATTTCCGTATTCCTATTCTTTTTTTTTTGAGACGGAGTTTCACTCTTGTTTCCCAGGCTGGAGTGCAATGGTGCGATCTCAGCTCACTGCAACCTCCACCTTCTGGGTTCAAGCAATTCTCCTGCCTCAGCCTCAAGAGTAGCTGGGATTACAGGCACACGCCACCATGCCTGGCTAATTTTTTTGTATTTTTAGTAGAGACGGGGGTTCCACTATGTTGGCCAGGCTGGTCTCGAACTCCCAACCTCGTGATCTACCCGCCTCGGCCTCCCAAAGTGCTGGGATTACCGGAGTGAGCCACCGCGCCTGGCCTCCTATTCTTTTTCTTAGGAGGCTGAGACTCAAATCTTTCCTGTGGAAACTCATTTTGAGTCTAGTACATGGTTTATTTTTCACATTCCCTTAACCGTTGCTTGTCCTTAATTTGGATTTTCAATTGCTTTAACATAAAGACTCAAAACTACTCTTTAGTTTGAAATTTGAGGATTTTTTAGTCTCTTTGGCTATGTCATATTACACTTTTATTAAATAGTAAGAAATCTATAACTTTTACTTGGTATCCATAAAGATGAAATTTATTTCAATTATTTTTCTTTTGCTTAAGTCTCCTGATACAATCATTCTTCGAACTCCTCTTTTATTAGTTGATTCTTTATATATATGCTTGAAACCATTTTCTGTATTTTTTTTGCAGCCTCATAGCTATTTCTTAGTAGTGATTCCTTCACTTTACCTAATTCCATTTCTAGAGCACTTGCATAGTCCAGACACCAATTGTACCGGGTGCTTTGAATCTCTTATTGGTCATGCTCATAACAAATCCAGTAGATGTCATTACCCTCATTTAACAGATGAAGCACAAGAGGCCAAGTTAAATATCTGCCTGGGCTCCCGCAGCTACCAATGGCAGAGCCAGGACTCAAGCCCAAGGTGTCTCCCTTCGAGCTTGTTGCTCCTTCCGTCACATTGCAGAGCCGCTGCAGCCAACAGCTCTATAATTCTAACCCACACTGCAACGCCCACACACGAAATTATCATTTCATCCAAAATGACCTTTATCATTTACAAAGCCACTGATTAGTCTTTAACATCCATTTTAGCCCTAACATTTGATATATGTGCCTCTTGGTTTGGTACCATTTTAGAAATGTTATGCAAGGGAATGATCGTCAATAATGATTCAGTCCCAGCACTAGAAAACAGCATTTGTCATTTTTAGCTTCCTTCCTTTTCAAACTCATATCCATCTTATTAAATGTCAGAAATCTACGACCACATCTCACATTAAAAAAAATCTAGAGGGTTATATGGAACCATTTCCTGAAGAGGTCAAAAACGCTTGATAATGAAGCAGTTGGGAGTTTGATTTGATAGACAGAAAACATAAGTGAATCACAGAAATATATTTGAGCTCACACAATTTGATGTGACAGGAAGGATATGTCTTATTTAAACCAGTTTTTAAAATTTCAACTCGCATTTGGTTTTCCAAGAATTTAGATGCAAGAGGGCTAAGTTGTCCCCCAACTAATCAGAACAGAATAGTCTCCAGGTATAGACAAACAGTAATATATTTAGAGGTGGGGGGACTGTCAGAAATTGTCTACCAACCATCTATAAATTAGAAGAATCTACTTGCAGTCGCTTGGTATTCTACCCAAGTGTTTGTCTGCTGACGGCAAATGCTCTCCTCTTTAGGGGCTGACATTGGCATGTATTGAGCTTGACTAAGTGAAAAACGGTTTCCAACACTTTCATGCTTAGTTTTAAATCTTTTTGGTATAAAAAGATGCTATGATGAATTTAGTTTAATAAACAAAATATAAGGCTGAGGTTAGAAGTGTCAAAACACACACAATTTCTTGACTGACAGGTCACAAGGAGCGGTGCCCTGGACACACTAGATATCATCTTCCCTCCAGTTGGCAAATTTACCCTTTCAAATGGCTGGATGTTTTTTATGCAATCTGTAAAAGAGGCAGAATCTCAAGGGAAACCTGAGCAGAATCTCAAAGAAACTGCTCTGTTCTACATGATGAGATTTTAGGTTAATGTAACAACAGCAACAACAAAAATCTATTTTCGAGATAACAGCACAGTCCTTGCACTGATATTTCCTGTTTCTGCTGAACTGGGGATGAGGGAGGGAATCTGTTCTCCTGGTGTGGCCAGGGTGAGAAAGTGTTGATGGTGGATGCTCACAGGAGTGGGAGCCAGACAGAAAGCCCCCAGGAAGAGCGCAGCCAGTGCTGCCCTTCCTCCTCCTCCTCCCCCTCCTCCTCCCCCTCCTCCTCCCCCTCCTCTTCCCACTCCTCCTCCTCCCCCTCCTCCTCCTCCCCCGCCCTCCTCTTCCCCCTCCCCCGACCCCCTCCTCCCCCTCCCCCCCTCCTCCTCAGGACTGCGGTCTCCCTCCAGGCCTCCCACTGGAAGATACTTCCCCATTCGCTGGGAACTCACTGACAAAGCAGAAATGTAGAAACGTGGCTCGCAGAATCCCAGACCCAGCATCAGGGAAGAGACTGGTGCACAGCTGGGAGAGTATCACCTCATAAGCAGTGCAGGTGGCCTGTCACAGCCGTGAGCAAGAAGGACATGGAAGCATGGACCCAAGACCAAAGGTGGACGAAGAAACTGTCCCCAGTGGCAGGTCCTGAACCACCCAGTCAGCTCTTCCTATTGTCTCGCATCTGGTGTCTGCAACACTGAAATTAGGGGTGTCGAGGACCAACCTGGAGGTTCAGAAGTAAAACTTCCCACCAAGGTGGCCCTCACAGTCCCTCAGCTGGTCACGACTTCAGAAGACTTCTTCCTGACCCTTGCCCCGACCTTCCTTTACTGAGAGCATTTACTTTAGAGAAGTCATAATTGTAAGTTATTTCTCTTCCCTTTTGAGATGTGAATCTTTTCAAAAGTCCTCTTGCCAGTTCTAAACCCAGAACTGTCTTTTTCAAGGACCTGGGAGCTGTCCCTTTGAGATGCAATTATCAAGGAAGATGGTGCTCTGTCTCCCAGTCTCCATAGGAGGTGGGTGCCTAATGTGCTCCGAGTTGTAAAACTACCTGCTGTCATGAAGACAGGAGAAAGTTTACTTTCCCTTGGAGTGAAGCAAACTAGAAACACAGATGGCCTACAAGCCCCACCCCAGCTCTTAAAAATTTCCCTGCCCTTTGTTTCAGCAAATCTGAGTATCTGGGCTTGGTCTGTGTTCTCTCCCCTGCTGCTCTTCATAGTGTGGGAATAAAACCAACTTCTATTTGCTCATCTTGTCCAGTGCAGTTTTTATTTAACAACACATTGAGGGTTTCTTAGAACCAGCGAGGGTCTTATGGCTGAAGGAATATTTTTCAGAATGTCATTTTAATCTGATGCCCAACATATTCACTAAAACAAAAGGGGGGAGATTAAAATTAATTTAAAATATTTTAAAAATAAGGTTTATCTAGTGCCAAAACATACAAACTTTACAGGGAAGATTCTTGCCACTGTATAGAGGTTTCATAAAAATCCTTGCATCATTGTCAAACCTTTACTTTTAACTTTAATTACCTGCTTTGCACTCATTCTGGAAATAGCCAGAATTCAGCACATAAAAGTAAAGGAAACGCACTGCTGCTGTCAACATGAAATTCCATTTTGCTTCCATAGAGATTTGCACCCCACACTCTAGATTAGAACTCATTCAATATATTTACATAATGTCATTGTCTCAAACTTAATGCATTCTGTTAAATAACATTACAGATAATTTTAAACTCACCTACAATCTCTATTGTTGTATTAAGAAATATACAAAGACTTAATGAAAATCCTATAAAATAAATAAGCAACAGCCAAACATTCACCTAGCAGCTCAGGTAATGAGGAAGAATCCAATGAATAAGTACAAGCCCTGGTAGGAAAGCAAGTTGTTTTGCATTCACACAGAGGCAGATAACACAGATTCTTACAGGACATTCATCATGCTCTTCTTTTTCTGTAATGCCCAAGTGGATTTGCTTTGAGCAAAACAAAGTCTGCAGTCATAACAGAATAACAACCTGCAGTGTTCTTCAAAACAATTATCTTATGTGTAAGTATTTTTCTAAAAAAAAATGCCATGGTTATACATTCAAAGTCAAATATGTAACAATCAAGAGATTCAAATCCCTTAATACAGCCAGGGAAGCAAGCTCTCGCAAAGCATGACATCAGGGAGCAGGGCCTCTGACATCACTGGAAAAACTTAAACATATAAGAAACTTCTGCCTCCAAATACAAAGAAAACAAAAACAAAACAAGGAAAATGACTTAGTACAGTTAAAGTTATTCTTCCTCATCTCAAGCCACAGAGGCTAAAGAACAGAGAACTTCTAAACATTGCATGTATTCCATTTGGTGGCAGGGTTGCAGGCAATAAGAGGCCCAAGAGGTCAACAGAGCAATCATCTTCTCACTGGGCCCATATCCCACTCATTCCCCTCAGGATTCTCAAGGAGGTGGCAACAGATCTCGATGGCATAGAATCCAAGAGGAGTGAAGGGGAGGAGAATCACAGTAAACAAACGGCCTCAGGGGGGTTGCACACCTAACAGTCATCCAGCGTTTGCTTTGACTTATTTAATTTACAGGAGTTATCATTTCAGAATTCTAGTTCTTAAGTTTTTTACATTTAACTTCTACGTCTTGTCATTCTAAGTCTAGAAATGCTAAAAATTACTCCCAAGAGGGCCTCTGAATAACATTCATTCCTATTTGCAAACATTAATTAACACCTTCGAACATTTAAAAGTGAATTCATAAATTTTTGGGGATTCCAGGTGTCTGACAAACCTCCCGGTTCTTAAGTAATTCTTAAAATTTCAATTAAGCTTAAAACCACAATGAACATAATATTTTCCTAATTATCCTAATATGATTTATGTTCTTGTGAGATTTTCAATAGGATACTTTAGACTGCCACTCTAAAGACCAACTTCTCCAAAACAGTACACGTAAAAACAAATTTAAACATGAAGTTACCTTAACATAAAATAGTATAATTAGTTCATAATATTTAAAATATTATTATACTTAATTCCAAATCTTCGAGACATGAAAGATGTTGAGCCATAGAGGATGACCATGACCTTCTCAAGGTTGCGTAAGGACAAAGGGATTTGAGAAAAGGTCAATTTAATTCTTATCTGTTTGGAGTGGTTACATTAACGACTCAGTTACTTCAAGAGGGAGACATAATTCAATACTACAGAGCTTCTTTCTGCTTAACATTTCCCAACAGCTAACCTTTGGCTCCTAATACCTGGGCATCATAGAATGTAAAGTACCTGTTGAGAAAGACAGTCGTGCACAGCCTGCAGACCCGACACAGCTGCATGAGGGTGTGCCGTGGACCTGGAACATTTCCTTACGTGGAGAGCAAGAGGCCTCAGCCCATGCTGTGCACATGGCCTTGTTTGGGAATGACTTTCCCTGTTCCACGAGCGATGTGCACTTTGCTCTGTTTAAACATGCATGTGTCATACAGCGTTGCGGGTGGGGGACGGGGGACGGGTCTTGTGCCTGTTGCACGAGATGGGTGTGGTGCATGCCGACCAGCTCCTGCTCAGGCTGTGGGGTGAGACTTGCAGGCCTCGGGGGACCAATACTGACTATCAAAGCTGATCTTGCTCTGTCTTTTCCCTATGTGAGCAAAATGCTGTTCCATCCAGTGCCTGTGTGAGTTGTGTCTTTCTTGGTGACCCTGACACCAGCAAATCACGTAGTGGGCTCAACCTGGGACTGCTGCTCCTGGTCCCCGGCCTTATTGGGCTCTTGCTCTCTTCCCTGCAGTGGGACTTCTGCCCTGGAGGTGGTAACCTGTGTTACTTGCTCAACGATATCTCACAATACAAAGTTTGGGGGCCTAGACTTACATAAGAAACATTGCCACGTACGTAACCAAAACCCAATACGATATTTTTATCAAATGAGTTTGGGAACAGTCTCAAGTTTCACTCCAAATACAGTGGTTAGAAGATTGGAATCACATATAGATGTTTTGGAAAGGAATACATGCTTCCGATTTTTATGTTACTATGAGAAGTTCTAATAAGCAGTTCTCTGAAGACAACTGTATGAATTCATAATCCGGTAGTAACATTTTTCTTTCTACATAATAGTTTGTTCCCTATATATAATTATTTGACTGTGTTTTAGCTACGGGAGTTGACTAATAATGTGTTTTAATTTTGTACATTTATTGGGAGCTTATTTCTCATTATTTGACATTTTTGCACAGAAACTCTGATGTTCAGGAACTGATTCGTTGTAGAAAGGAGATGCCTGTCCACTTGTCTACTCACAGAAGGCTGCCCTTTCCATCTAAGTTTATCATTTAGTTCCATTTTGCATTCCGTTGGCTGCTCATATGAAAATATCTTCTCAAGCCCTTTGAATTTGAAGGAAATTATACTTTTTTATTGTTGGAATCATACAACTCTTACATATATTAAAATAATACCAAGTTGAAATTTGGATTTCTCTAGTGATTTTATCTCATTTGCAAGTATAACCTGTAGCCTAATTCTACTGACATAAATGAAAACGGCCTTTTACAGAGAGCTTAGAACAACCTAATAACACAGCTTCTGATGAGCAGCTTGGCCTGCGTCTGCCCTGACCACAGAGCATAGATGTGATATTATAAGGGGGAGGGGAGAATGCGGCAGGCTTTCTGGAGGAAGCATTGTGAGTCCCCCACGTTACAAGATTCCCCATGCACTGCCATTCTTCCTCCTTTATTCATTCAATAGGATTGTATATCTGTGATGTTCTGGGCATGGAACAGGGGCTGGGGATGCAGCAATGACCCAAATGGATAAAGACCTCTACCCTATGTAGCCGACATTTTTATGGGGCAGAGGAAGCAGGTAATAAATTAAACAAAAATGAAATGCATCATGCATGAGGTGGTGGTAGGTACTGGAGAGGAAGATGCGAGAGATGCGGAGGACGACAGACGGTCCCTGCCAAGGTGCTCAGGTAACTGCGGTGGCTCCCCTGTTCCTCCCCCTACCCCAGTAGCCCAACCAACTGCTCCTCCCACCCCTCTCCCTAACCCTAACCTACCTGACCAGCGGCTGCTAACCCACAAGAACAATGGGTTCCTCCTCTGAATAACTGTTTTTAACCAACTACTGTCCTAAAAGTTGCAGAACTTTGGCTGGCATCTCTTATTAAAGCTCTATAAAAACTCCACCTCCCCCAACCCACCCCAACTTAGAATACTTCATCAGAATTGTTCTTGTGCCCCATATGCAAAATTCTAAATCAAGACTTACGAATAATGATGTTCTGGTGGATTTTCTGAACTGCTTTTGGTACCACGACTCAGATCGGGATGGAACCCCCTGCTGCTCAGACCGGGCTGCATTCAAGTATCCAGCACCCTAAAGAGCCTCTGACATCTTACCTCCCCAGAGTCCCAGTGATTGGTCAGCCAAGTGAGTCCCATATGACCAATTCAATTCTCTGTTCCCTTATACTGAAGGGACACGTAAGCCATTCACCTTTCCTCAGTGAGAAACATTGGTTTCTGAGAGATGATGTAGAGGTTTAGTGCTGAGATTCTTAGGGGCTGATTTTTTTCTATTGTTTGTCCTCATCATTTGAATATGTGATCTGGTGATCACCAATGATCTGGTGAAGCCCCAGGTCATTTTCCAACTTTTTATATGTACAAATGTTATGGTGCCAGTGATACCACATATTGAAGATTTGGCTAAAGTTTTACCAAAGACAGCCTGGAATTTCAGTGGATTGTCTGTATAACTTGAATTATTAAGAAAATAATTCACCTACCTTAATCTGTACCAGAGGAAAGGAGTTCAAATTGGAATTACAGAATTGAACATTGCAATAATATAAATTAAGAAGCATACAAATGGGTGTAATAAGGGATTAGACATAGGGAGGAGTTTGTCTAGCTGAAGGACAGGTAAGTAGAATTTTAGTGTGGAGAATGAAGGTTGGAGAAAATAAGAGGAGGGCAAATACAGATGTAAAGCATAAGTAATGTATAGTACATGGTAAAAAATGACATCATACTTGTAATTAGGGTCTCAATTGAAAAAGGAGAGATGGGGACACAATATTAGAGGAGATATCAACAAGAATTTTTAGAAACTAACAAAATACTCCAACTGATTTAAGAAGCGCTACAGATCTCAAGCAGGATACAGATGTAGATACAGATATAGATACATCTCTACAATGCTTAGTTCCATTATAGTAAACACCTGAAAATCAAAGTTAAAAAAAATTAAGGCAGCAGGAGAACAAATAAGTGCATTTCCTTCAAAGGAACAGCAATAAGATTGGCAGCTGACTTCTCGGAAGAAACAATGGATGGCCACAGAGTGGAGAGCTGGACAACGCTGCAGACACTAAGCCCCTAAGTGGAGAAGCCCTGTTGACTGTCTCAGGCTCAGCTGAGACCAGAAGAGCCACACCCCAGGAGTAAGAACCCTGTATTAGGACAGCTCTGGAAATTAAAAAGCAAGCAAAAGAAAAAACTGAAATAAATCAGTCCATACACTATCTGCCTAATGAAGGGAAACTTAACCTTCTTCAGAGAAAAAAATAGTATTATTCTGGATCTCTGCTAATTTTATTTCACAATGTCTCACATCAGTCACACATTTATGGTATTCGATTACAAAACTAAAAACCAGGTATAAAACCATGACAGCAGCAACAGACCCACAGGCGATACAGATACCAGAGTTCTCAAACAGGTTATTTCATGTAAACAAAACTATTATGTTCAATAAATTAGAGGAAAGGGTGCAAAATTTCACCAGAAACTTGGGGTCTAAAATTAATTAGGTAAAGAAATAGTCTAATGGAAACTCTAGCACTGAAAGGTACTAATTAATTAATTTAATTAATTTTAAAATTAATTAAAACTCAATAGATGATATATAGACAGATTGTGTACATATAGAGAGATTTTATATATATAATCTATATCTATAATATAGCTATAGATTATATACAGATATAGATTATATATAGTATATATGTATATATAGATATAGAGTATATATACTTATCTATATATATAGTAGAAAAGTATATTTTCTACTTTCACTAGAAAATATACAAACTAAAGCACAAAAAGACAAAGGGATTGGGGAAAATGGGGAGATGTTGATCAAAGGGTAGAAAATTTCATTTAGGCAGGGCGAATAAATTCTGCAGATCTGATGTACAGCATGGTGGCTATAGTTAATTATCCTCTATTGAATACATGAAATTTGTAAGAGAGTAGATTTTAAATGTTCTTACCAGAAAAAAAAATACTATGTGAAGTGATGGATATGTTTAATTAGCTTGATTATGGTCAACAGTTCACAATGTGTATATATATCAAATCATCACCTTGCACACTATGAATATATATAATTTTATTTGTCAATTTTACCTCATTAAAGCTGCGGGAAGAAAGGAATTGAAAAGACATAAATGGCCATATTATATATATTGGACATGATCAAAATCTCTAACATAAGTATAATCAAAGATCCAGAAAGAAAATATATCCAGGCCGGGTACGGTGGCTCACACCTGTAATCCCAGCACTTTGGGAGGCCAAGACGGGCGGATCACGAGATCAGGAGATCGAGACCATCCTGGCTAACACACAGTGAAACCCCATCTCTACTAAAAATACAAAAAAATTAGCCAGGCGTAATGGCAGGTGCCTGTAGTCCCAGCTACTTGGGAGGCTGAGGCAGGAGAATGGCGTGAACCCAGGAGGTGGAGTTTGCAGTGAGCCGAGATTGCGCCACTGCACTCCAGCCTGGGCAACAGAGCGAGACCCCGTCTCAAAAAAAAAAAAAAAAAAAAAAAAAAAAAATTTTTTTTTTTTTTTTTTTTTTTTTTTTTTTATCCAAATGGTAACTTTTTTGAAGGAGAGATTCTGTTTTGACGAAGGCATAAATACTGTTGTAGAGTGTGAATACCCTCTGACAGCCTAAAAAAGAAGAGTGAGTCAAGCATAAGACGACAGCCAAGGAGGCTCCATGTCATCAGGGAAATGGCAGCTCCCTCTTTTGAAGAGAACTGGATGAAAAATAGATGAAAAGCAGCCACCCACAAGCAGACTGGATGATACACAGCAGTCTAAGCTGCGCAATGGCCCCACACGCATACCCAGGCATGACAAATAACACTCCTCGTAATGGAAGATGACAGCTTGGAAATATCTCTCACAGACAAAGGTAAGTCCATACTGGGGAGGAGCCAGTGAGGAGTAGGAAGGACCCATTGGAGATTCAAAAACCCATTGGGATATAAGACAAGCAGGTATGCCTGTGCAGTGTGGAAACTTCACACAGTATAAACTGCCTCATGCAAACGTCGACTGAAGGCTTCCACTGAAGCCAGACATAGTGCAGTTCTGAGGACAGTGAAGATTGAAACAGTACAGGGAGAAAACTCAGGCTAGAAATGATGTAGCAATTCCCTGTACATCCCACATTATTTGGGGTGCACAGAAAGGATTCCAAGACCATCCTAGGCCAGTCAGAAGCCTCATCATGTAAAGATATAATTTTTGATGTCTTCATAATTTTCAGTTATAAGTCATGCATATTTGTAACACTGTCATTGAACCAAGACTTAAGTTGAACAAAATTTCACAGTGTAAAAACCTTTTGAAGAAATATTTCATTTTTTAATGAATGAGTTTGAGTTCAGCAATCTGAAAATAAATAGAAAATCTTGATCTGCTCCTTCAATTTGTATAATCCAGAAAAGAAGCTTAATCTTTAATATTTTAGAGAGAGTAAAAGGACAGGCTTTACTAAAACTTCTGAGAACTTGCAGGATGAATAAGGGGGCTAATTGTATTTTAACTTAGGAAAGCCAAATGCAGGAGGAGAAACTGTGCAACAACACAGAAGCCTATGATTAAGGGAACTAAAATCAGGGGGAAATCATCGTCTGGACTCATGTAGTCATCAGGACACACCTAATCAAGGATGCTTAACTACACCTCACCTTCCTCTCTATTGCTAACTTCCATCTGGAACTCTAAGGAGATTTGGAAAATAATCTCTTCACTTGCAGATGGCTAACCTAACACCACCTGAAGATAATGCAGTCTCCCGCTTGCATATAATTAAGCCTACCTACTCACCTGCTTCTCTCTTATATATGAAAAATCCTACAAACTTTTAAAGAATTCTGGCTAAGAAGTTCATCTTCTCTAAGTTTGCTTCATAAAACACTGTAATCATTCTCAGAGATTCAGAGCCTCAGACCACTTCTATTAATAGTTTCACAATTTCAAAACATAGTTTTCATTACAGGTAGACATTTTGGGGCCAATTGCAATTGAGAGCTGAGGCCAACATGCTTTCCTGTCCATGTTACAGGATTTAATACACAAATGACAATGGCCAGGATTTATGGTTTTAGAAGTTTTACCCACAACCTCTGCAGCAATTGGTCCAGAATGGTCAGGACTTGCTAGGTGACTGTTAGCTTCCCTATTTGTTCTCCTGCTTCCTACTCCAGACCAACCAGAGAAAGCCAAATATGGCGCCAAAACCAGTTACATAAGATACCATGTTTCTAAGTGAGTGGACTTTCAGCTTTCCCAGGCCAACAACCTCCAATCAGAGCATTTCTGAAGCCGTCTCTTCTTTTACCATAAATCTGTCCTGCTCCACTGCCTGCCCTTGAGTATTAGACAGGCCAAGGTGATGACAATTGACTTCCTTGCTGTACCAAGCCCTGAATAAATAGCCTCTGTTTGTTCTCATTTGGGTGGGCGGTCTTTGTTTATTTCTGCAATGTGCCAAACAATTCTAGGAAAATGCATCTTTTCTTATTCTGTGTTAAGCAATACTTAGATGTGGCAAAAATAACTTGTCTTCCAGAAGCAAGTATTTTCTGAGAAAAATAGCTAAGGCTCAGAACCAACTTAGATCACTTACTAATTGAAACAAACACCTCACTCATCGATATTCATTTCAAGAATTCCATCCTACCGTGCCCACTTATCCAAAGCTATCATAGCCTCTCCAATACCAAACAGTTGCCCTCCTTAAATCATTCAGCCCAGGCCTCAGCCTTGTAAATATACACCCAGCTTCTCTCTGCTGAGATACTATGAAGACTCTGTAAACATGGTATTCTCTCTTCCTTCAGTAAGTCTAATACATTTAGTTCTGCTTATTCAACACATTGCACGGTGGTCTTTTGCAGAAATTGACAACTGATAATCTTGCAGATTGTGCCAGGATTCATCAAGACCCTCTTGCTACTGTGGCCCAATAAACACAACTCAACTGCACAGAGCTCCTCCGAGGCCTCCTGAACTGCACACTCAGGGGCCTGAGCTGTGATCTCTTTTTGTCAAGCTCCCAAACACCAAGTTTACTTTGTTCCCTAGGGATGGGTAACCCTCTTTTGGAATCCTTAGATTACCTCGTCAAAATTTAAAACTCTTATTTTTGGCAGAGCATGTCTTGTTAATCTGTTCTTACCTCTGTCTCTCTATTTTTGTTACTTCTATTGTAAGTCTGTAAGGGGAAATTTATGGGGAAGAGAAATTTATAAGGCATGGGGTGATAAATTTACCTTTGCTATTGGCTCCAAGGCTGGTATAGAAGGTTGGCACAATCTTACAGAAAAACTTCAACAGATTACTCAGGTCACCTATATTAGTCTATATTAATAAGAAATATTGGTTTGTAGTTGTCTTTTCATGTGATATATTTGTCTGGTTTTGGAATCAGGGTAATCCTGGCCTCATAAAATAAATTGAGGAGTGTTCTCTCCTCTTCTATTTTTTAGAGAGTTTGTGAAGAATTGACATTAATTTCCTATACGTTTTGTAGAATTCTGGGACTAGGCTTTTCAAGTTTTAAATTATGAATTTAATCTTTTTTTATTATAGATCTTTACAGATTTTTTAATTCTTCTGAGTCAGTTTCTATAGTCTGAGCCTTTCTAGGATATTTTTCTACTACTGGCATACAATTGTTCATAGTATTCCTTATACTTCTCTATTTCTGTAAGGTCTATAATAACGTCCCCTCTTCATTCATGTTTATTAATTTGAGTTTTCTTCTTTCTTTGTCAGTCTGGCTAAGGATTTGTCAACTTTATTGATTTCAAAAAGCCAGGTGTGTTTTTGTTAATTTTTCTCTGTTTTCTCTTCTCCATGTTATTAATTTTCATTCTAACTGATATTTATTTCCTTCTGCTTAATTAGGTTTAGTTTGTTCTTTTATAATTGTCTTAAATTGTATATCCAAGTTATTGATTTGCGGTCTTTCTTCTAATGTAATATAGACCTCTCCCCTACAGCTATGAAAGTCTCTGTAAGTGCTGCTTTAGTTGCATGCCATAAGTTTTGTCATGCTGCGTCCCACTTACTTTCATTTATTTGAAATTATTTTATATTTTTTGTGGTAGTTATTTAGATCTGTGTTTTTAATTTCTACATTTTTAAACTTTCTGTTATTAATTTCTCATTACATTTGATTGTTGTTGGGAACATACTTTGTATGATTTCGATTCTTTTGAATTTATTGTGGCTTTCTATATGACCTAGCTTAGTATGTCACAGAGAACATTTTATGTGCACTTGAGAAGAATGTATACTCTGATATCATTGGGTTTTCCGCAGCTATCTGCTAGGCCTAGCTGGTTTATAGTTTTGTTCGAGTCTTCTATTTTCTTATTGATCTTCTGCCTAGTTGTTCTCTTCATTATTGAAACTGAGGTATTGAAGATTTCAACCATTATTGTCAAAATGTCTATTTCTTCCTTCAATTGTGAGGGGTTTTTTTTGTTTTTGGTTTGGTTTTGTTTTTTGAGATGGAGTCTCGCTCTGTCACCAGGCTGGAGTCCAGTGGTATGATCCCGGCTCACTGCAGCCTCCGCCTCCCAGGTTCAAGTGATTCTCCTGCCTCAGCCTCCCAAGTAGCTGGGACTACAGGCACCCGCCACCACACCTGGCTTATTTTTGTATTTTTAGTAGAGATGGGGTTTCATCATTTTGGCCAGGCTGATCTTGAACTCCTGACCTCATTTTTTTTTTTTTTTTTTTTTTTTTTTTATTTCATCTCACATTAGTATAGCCATTCTGCTTTCCTATCATTGCTGTTTGCATGATCTATCTTTTCTTACCCCTTAATTTTAGCCTATTTGTGTCTTTGAATTAAAAATGTCTCCTGTGCACAACATATAATTCAATTTTTTTTTTTTTTTTTTTTGAGACGGAGTCTCGCTCTGTCGCCCAGGCCAGACTGCGGACTGCAGTGGCGCAATCTCAGCTCACTGCAAGCTCCACTTCCCGGGTTCACGCCATTCTCCTGCCTCAGCCTCCCGAGTAGCTGGGACTACAGGCGCCCGCCACCGCACCCGGCTAATTTTTTGTATTTTTAGTAGAGACGGGGTTTCACCTTGTTAGCCAGGATGGTCTCGATCTCCTGACCTCATGATCCACCCGCCTCAGCCTCCCAAAGTGCTGGGATTACAGGCGTGAGCCACCGCGCCTGGCCTATAATTCAATTTTGTCTTTATAGTTGGTGTGACAGTCTCTGTCTTTTGATTGGATTGCTTAATCCACTTACACTTAATGTTATTATGGGTGTAATTGGATTTATATCCAATTAACTTTTTTTGATATGTCTCATGTCTTTTTGTTTCTATATACTTCTTTCATGTATTTCTTTTATGTAAAGTGAATATATTCTAGTGTAACATTGTAATTCCTTCAATAATTTTTAACTATACTGTTTGAATTATTTTCTTAGTGGTTACTTACTTTAGGGTTTACCATGTACATCTTAACTGGGCAGAATCTACTCCAAATTTATACTAACTTAATTCCAATGAGATACAGAAATGTCACTGCTATACAGCTCTATTTCTGTCTTCCCTTTTCTGTGCTACTATTGTTGAACCTAACATTATGCCTAACATATATTAATATATATTTTATATGTTATCAACAGATATGAATTTATATTAGATATATTGGGGGAAATATTTTATATCTCAACAATAAATATATAATATTTATTGGGATATGTTGTTATATGCCAAAAATAAATATATAATATATAAATGTATATATTATATAATATATATATTTCTCAACAAATATATAATACATAAATACATTTATGTAATATACAAACATATATTAACATACATATATAGGTATATCCCAATAATTCATTGCTATAAATATTATTTCATATAATTTTATGTATATTTAAGAAGCTGAGAGAAGAAAGCGGAACATATGTAAACAGCTTCTTGTATTAATTTTGTTTACAATCTCTGGTTTTCTTCATCTGTCCCTGAGGTTTAGAATTACCATCTGGTGTCATTTTCTTACTCTAATATAGCTTTGTTCCTACCCACTTTTGTTCTGCTACTATTGGCAAATTTATTACATTTCTATATGTTACAGGCTCAACAATACAATTACATGCACTTGTATTATATGATTGCTTTTTAAATCCAGTTAAAAGGAGGAAAGAGACATGTATTTATAGTGTCATTTATAATTACATAACTGCTTTTACCATTGGGGGTGTGTGTGCGTGTGTGTGTGTGTGTGTGTGTGTGTGTGTATGTATCCATGTGTTTGAATTACTGCCTAGGGTCACTTGCTTTTAACCTGAAAAACTCCACTTTTATTGCTTCTAAAGTAGGTCTACTAACAACAAATTCTATCCGTTTTTTAAAAATCTGGGAATGTCAATTATTTTACCTTCCTTACTGAAAGATGGTTTTGCTAAATATAGGATTCTTGGTTGGCAGATTGTTCTTTCACCACTTTCAATTTGTCGTTCCATTGTTTTCTGGCCTCCATTGTTTCTAATGATAATACAGATGTTCATCTTATTGGGGTTTCCTTGTAAGTGACAAGTCATTCTTCTTTTGTTGTTTTCAAGATTCTTTTTTTTTTTTAATTTGGCTTTGGAAAATTTGACTCTCATATGTCAAGGTGTAGATCTTTTTGAGTTTTTCCTGCTTAGAGTTTGTTGAGTTTCTTGAGGGTATAGATGCATGTTTTTCATCAAACTGGGGAATTTTTTGCCATTATTTTTCTGAATAAATTTTTGTTCCACTCTCTCTCTCTCCTCCTTCTGGCATTTTTATTATGAATATGTTGCTGCACTTGTGATATTCTACATGTCTCTGAGGCTCTGTTTGTATATTGTTGTTTTTTTTTTTCCTCTTGTCCTTCAGATTGTATCATTGCTAGCAGCCTATCTTCAACTTTGGTAATTCTTTCTTCTGTCAGTTGAAATAGATTGTAATCAATTGTTGAGCCCATTTGTGAATTCTTCATTTCAGTCATTGTACATTTCAAATACTGAATTTTTATTTGGTTTTCTTTTATAATTTCTGGCTATTGATATTCTCTATTTGATTAAGCATTGTCATCATACATTATTTCCTTCAGTTCTTTAAATATATTTGTAATGGCTGCTTTAAAATCTTTGTTAAATCTGACATCTGGTCCCTTTCACAGGCAGTTTCTGTTACCTGTGTCACCCCACCATCCCCCACCGTGTATGGGACATGTATTCCTTTTTCTCTGCATGTCTCACAGTTTTGTGGATTTTTTTAATTAAAAATGAGCATTTAAATAATATATTGCAGCAACTCAGGATTCTTGTTCCTTTATTCCTCTCCAGTGCTTGGTATTGTTGTTTGATCTTATTTATTTAGTAAGCAACTGGCTTAAATCACATAAAATTACAGCAAGGACAAATTGGCCACTGTATTCAGCCAAGATTGGCGATCATCTGTGGTGTCTGTCTCACTTATCACCACCATTAACCAGACAAATCTATGAAAAACAGGACAAGAACAAGGGTCCAAGAATCAGGGTGTCTGAGTATGTTTAAGTGCCTTTCATATGGCCATCTTCCTCAGTCGGTCTTAACTATTCTCTAGTGATTACTTACTTATTAGTGGAATGGATTGATGCTTTTCCTTACCAAAGAGCTATACCTCTGATAGTAGCAGAAGTATTGCTTAATTCTTTGTTTTCAATCTGGGGAATTCCAAACTAGTGCTAATGAAAATCCTTTAAAATGTGTGACCCTGTCACAGGAAAGGTTTTGCAAACCCTTACCACTTACTCAGAAATTTCACGGCCCATACTACCCCTAATCTTAAGAAAATATTGAAAGAACAAATAGTATTCTTCAGCTAAAATTAGCATAGTTTTCAATGACCCTTTGCTTCTATCACCTAAGGTATTATCTTAGTTTTAATAACAATGCAATCAACTTCTTCTGGGATTCACTAACTCTCCCACTATAAGTTAGTAGCAGGTCATCCCATGGCTGTAGTAATTGCATCTCTGATTCTAGATTGTGTCCTCTGGTAAGTGGAGTTGGAAAAATACTACAAGGGACTAATACAAGAGATAACAGCCTGAGCATCCACTGGCATGAGCACCGTTTGCTCAACATCCTCCTAAGCAACCTTGCATAACCTAAAACCTGGAAAAATAATTCTCCTAAACAGACTTCTGAGAAAGATGGCCCCCAAAACCTGATGGGCATGATCTTATCAGATACTGTTAAGTTGCACAGTAAGAAAATCTCAAGAGTTTTGTCCTTCAGTACACACTATCCCCACTACTCCAGCCAGGACCCCAAAGACATAAAGGCATTTTTCAGCCATTGAAAATTTGTCCTAGATGGAGACATGAAGCTAAAAATTGGTATTCTCCAAGAGTGAACAGTTATTGGAAGAAAACAGTTCCCATCAAAGGCTTTCAGAGCAAGTAGACATCTGCATGAAGTAGAGAAATTCAACCCACAACCCATAGAACATCATCTAGATAACTGGAGTCACAGATTCTCATGTTTTAATTTTCATGCTTTGTTTGCTATATTCTTAGGTAGCTTCTTTTCTCTTTACTTACTGTAAGGTTCTGGGTTATTAAGAAACATTTTTATCTATTAGTTATGGTACTCATACTGTCCTCATGATAAACATATTTTTTTTATTCTTAGACACTGCTTGGTATGAGTCCAATACCAAAATGTAACTTATTATTAATGGCTTGGCAAAATATATAAACAAATAAACCATTTTTTGCATTCATTTTTCTTTGTGTGCCACTTTGCTTTCTTTGATAACACATTCTTTTAACAAGTCAGTTGGATTCCTTGGTAATTAGACTCTAGTAGAAAGCATTTTTTAGGTTGAAAGCCACTCAACAGCAGAGCCAGCCAGAAATCAAAAATCCCCTATCGGATTGTATATACTAAGAGGGTTTTCTATCTCCACAGAAACAGTTTCAAGTGCCTTTCACAGGAAATGCCTTTTGTAACAGAACTTTTATGGTAAGAAAGTTTCTAAAAGAGTTAGAAAAACAGTTGCTATTTGGAAGTTGTCTCATTTTTACAGACATTGTAAGAAAGAAGAACTGCTTAGGCTCAATGCTAAGCTCTCTTGCTTTAAATCCACCTGATGATATCTATTCTAAACCGACTGTCACCTGACACAGAACCACATTTGATGAGTGGGATCAAAACATTACTATATTATACCACGGCAATATATCGTCAGACCTGCTTGGGCCAAAGTTTAATTAGATTGTCCCTAATAATGGATTTTGGATTTGTGATGCAACAGGCTATGACCTGAAAATTTTACAGCAATCTGTTTTCTCTGTACATTACTTGTCTTCAAATAGTCCTCACTTAAGAGGAATTCTATGAAAGGGAGCAGGTGGTGGTTCAGAACACAGCTGAGTAGATAATGTATATCCTTTGCAAGGTGGAGCATGTGCTGCCTTATGGGAAGAATATTGTACTCAAACATCTACAGATCTCTCTTGGATGTTTAATATGACAAAAAAATCTGGGAAACAAAGATAACATGAAATTAGATAATTGAGCTAATACGGTTATGTATCTCTTCAGATTGGGGGTGATACATTTTATTTTTGTTTAATATGCATGTTTTTATTTAATTTGGCTTAGCTGTGGACTATAAACTTGGACCATAATTCTTCTCATAGTATTTTATGTGTTGTACTGCTCAGTTGTGTCATCCGCAGTGTTTAGTGCTGCTATTCAGCCCCTGTTCCATCAAAGGACCCAACAAATAATCTTTCAACAAAAAGCACAACAAACTCTGACACGTATAAAAGTTGGAATAACAAACATCAGAAACTCCACATGTGACCAAAGATGGTAAACAGTGGTGAAGATCAGAATTGATCATGTCCCCAGAAGGCAATGGTCTATCCTTTAAATGTGATTGAAGAATTATCAAGGGAAGTTGGCAATAACTGAAACCAACATGCTTTCCTATTCTTGTGTTAATTCCAAAATCAAACGTATCTTACTTTCCATGGCCTCAAAACTCTGGAACAAACATCTTTTCCTGGTTTTTGCTAAATAATTTATTGGGGGCAAGCAAAAATATCTCAGATACTTGCTCCAAGGAATCGTTGCTCCAGAAAGCTAACACCATAAACCAACAAAAGAAAAAAAAAAAATCTCTACTTCTGAAGACTCACAACTGACTCATTAATACCCTCTTCAAGATCTTCCTCTCTCTGTGCCCACCAATTAAAACTACTATAATATAAACTTTTCCCAAAGCCAGTTATCATCCTGCATAGTAGACCCACCTTGAAGTCATCTAGCCGAGGTGACTAGAAAGGTACTAAAATTTCATAAATAGCCTCTCTTGACTTTTTCCTTCTGAGACACTACTAATATTCTGTCATGGCGGTGCTTTTCCTTACTTCCATAAATCTAATAAACTTAGCTTTTCTTGCTCAACATGTTTTACTGATGGTCTTTTCAGGGATTTGACAGTGGATAAGATCATTCATCCCTTTAACATATGGCATCTAAAATCATAGCTACCATAGATGTGTGATTCCCATTCTTGAAACCCTCTCTCAAAGCATGAATTCTCTCTCTGCAGGTCAAATAATACTCTATTCTTTTATCAATAGGAATTTGGATTGTTTCCAGTTTTTTCATATTATAAGTAGAGTGCTATAAATATTATTGTACATCTCTCCTGGTGCACATGTCAAATAATTTTTCTTGTATATATACCTAGGAGTGGGATACCTCTTGATCTCAAGATATGCAAATGTTCAACTTACACGAAAACATGAATTTTTTTTCATTTTTTTTAAATTATACTTTAAGTTTTAGGGTACATGTGCACAAAGTGCAGGTTTGTTCCATATGTATACATGTGCCATGTTGGTGTGCTGCACCCATTAACTCGTCATTTACATTAGGTATATCTCCTAATGCTATTCCTCCCCCCTCCCCCAACCCCACAACAGGCCCCGGTGTGTGATGTTCCCCTTCCTGTGTCCATGTGTTCTCATTGTTCAATTCCCACCTATGAGTAAGAACATGCGGTGTTTGGCTTTTTGTCCTTGTGATAGTTTGCTGAGAATGATGGTTTCCAGCTTCATCCATGTCCCTACAAAGGACATGAACTCATCCTTTTTTATGGCTGCATAGTATTCCATGGTGTATATGTGCCACATTTTCTTAATCCAGTCTATCATTGTTGGACATTTGGGTTGGTTCCAAGTCTTCGCTATTGTGAATAGTGCCGCTATAAACATACATGTGCCTGTGTCTTTATAGCAGCATGATTTATAATCCTTTGAGTATATACCCAGTAATGGGATGGCTGGGTCAAATGGTATTTCTAGTTCTAGATCCTTGAGGAATCACCACACTGTCTTCCACAATGGTTGAATTAGTTGACAGTCCCACCAACAGTGTAAAAGTGTTCCTATTTCTCCACATCCTCTCCAGCACCTGTTGTTTCTGACTTTTTAATGATCGCCATTCTAACTGGTGTGAGATGGTATCTCATTGTGGTTTTGATTTGCATTTCTCTGATGGCCAGTGATGATGAACATATTTTCATGTGTCTTTTGGCTGCATAAAAGTCTTCTTTTGAGAAGTGTCTGTTCATATCCTTCGCCCACTTTTTGATAGGGTTGTTTGTTTTTTCTTGTAAATTTGTTTGAGTTCATTGTAGATTCTGGATATTAGCCCTTTGTCAGATGAGTAGATTGCAAAAATTTTCTCCCATTCTGTAGGTTCCCATCCCATCTTATGGGAGTTTCTTTTGCTGTGCAGAAGCTCTTTAGTTTAATTAGATCCCATTTGTCAATTTTGGCTTTTGTTGCCATTGCTTTTTATGTTTTAGACATGATGTCCTTGCCCATGCCTATGTCCTGAATGGTATTGCCTAGGTTTTCTTCTAGGGTTTTTATGGTTTTCAGTCTAACATTTCAGTCTTTAATCCATCTTGAATTAATTTTTGTATAAGGTACAAGGAAGGGATCCAGTTTCAGCTTTCTACATATGGCTAGCCAGTTTTCCCAGCACCATTTATTAAATAGGGAATCCTTTCCCCATTTCTTGTTTTTGTCAGGTTTGTCAAAGATCAGATGGTTGTAGATATGTGGCATTATTTCTGAGGGCTCTGTTCTGTTCCATTGGTTTATATCTCTGTTTTGGTACCAGTACCATGCTGTTTTGGTTACTGTAGCCTTGTAGTATAGTTTGAAGTCAGGTAGCGTGATGCCTCCAGCTTTGTTCTTTTGGCTTAGGATTGACTTGGCAATGTGGGCTCTTTTTTGGTTCCATATGAACTTTCAAGTAGTTTTTTCCAATTCTTTGAAGAAAGTCATTGGTAGCTTGATGGGGATGGCATTGAATCTATAAATTACCTTGGGCAGTATGGCCATTTTCACGATATTGATTCTTCCTACCCATGAGCATGGAATGTTCTTCCATTTCTTTGTATCCTCTTTTATTTCATTGAGCAGTGGTTTGTAGTTCTCCTTGAAGAGGTCCTTCACATCCCTTGTAAGTTGGATTCCTAGGTATTTTATTCTCTTTGAAGCAATGGTGACTGGGAGTTCACTCATGATTTGGCTCTCTGTTTGTCTGTTATTGGTGTATAAGAATGCTTGTGATATTTGCACATTGATTTTGTATCCTGAGACTTTGCTGAAGTTGCCTGTCAGCTTAAGGAGATTTTGGGCTGAGACAATGGGGTTTTCTAGATAGACAATCGTGTCATCTGCAAACAAGGACAATTTGACTTCCTCTTTTCCTAATTGAATACCCTTTATTTCCTTCTCCTGCCTGATCACCCTGGCCAGAACTTCCAACACTGTGTGGAATAGGAGTGGTGAGAGAGGGCATCCCTGTCTTGTGCCAGTTTTCAAAGGGAATGCTTCCAGTTTTTGCCCATTCAGTATGATATTGGCTGTGGGTTTGTCATAGATAGCCAAACTATCATCAGAGAATACTATAAACACCTCTACACAAATAAACTAGAAAATCTAGAAGAAATGGATAAATTCTTCAACACATACACCCTCCCAAGACTAAAGCAGGAAGAAGTTGAATCTCTGAATAGACCAATGACAGGCTCTGAAATTGAGGCAATAATTAATACCTTACCAACCAAAAAAAGTCCAGGACCAGATGGATTCACAGCTGAATTCTACCAGAGGTACAAGGAGGAGCTGGTACCATTCCTTCTGAAACTATTCCAACCAATAGAGAAAGAGGGAATCCTCCCTAATTCATTTTATGAGGCCAGCATCATCCTGATACCCAAGCCTGGCAGAGACACAACAAAAAAAGAGAATTTTAGACCAATATCCCTGATGAACATTGATGCAAAAATCCTCAATAAAATACTGGCAAACTGAATCCAGCAGCACATCAAAAAGCTTATCCACCATGATCAAGTGGGCTTCATCCCTGGGATGCAAGGCTGGTTCCACATACACAAATCAATAAACATAATCCAGCATATAAACAGAACCAATGACAAAAACCATATGATTATCTCAATAGATGCAGAAAAGGCCTTTGACAAAATTCAACAACCCTTCATGCTTAAAAGTCTCAATAAATTAGGTATCGATGGAACGTAACATGAATCTTTTCTAAAAAAAAAATTATCCCAGTTAATGTTCCCATCAGCAATGAGTACAAGTTCTTCCTGTGATCATCCTTTCCACCATTTAATATTATCAAGTTCTTTAATTCTTCCAATAATCAATGATGAAATGCAATATATAATCATATATTTATTGTCCATTTGATTTTTCAATCTGTAGTAAAATGTCCACTTACATCTTATGCCCATTTTTATATTTTTATCTTTTTCTTGTTTTGTAGACATTTTAATATATATTCTAACAATACTTTATTAGTTATGTGTGTTCTGTTTATCTTCTCTCAGTTTTTGAATTTGTATTTTTATGATGTCTTTACATGAATAAAAATTCTTTTTAAATTATTTTTATTGTATAAATTTAAAATATAGAACATAATGTTTTGATATGCATATACATAGGGAAATGATTACTACTGTCAAACAAATGATCATATTCATCATCTTTTATAGTTATCTTTTTGTGGATATAAACACTATATGTTAAAATAATTAAATGTACTATTATTTTATTTTATGGTGAACACTTTTTTCTTTGTTTTAAAAAAAAATCCTTCCTCAAGGATATGTCTTCCTCTTTCAAAAAGACACTACATACTTTCTTTTTGAAATTTTTAAATAGTGCTACAGTTAGTCCTTAATTCATTTATATTTGATGGGTGGAGGAGGCAAAGGGTCAGACAGGAAGCAGGAACTCCAGTGTCTGCTTGGAGCCCACAGGGAAGTCTCACTATTGTCACTTTCAGAGGAAGAGTGTAGGTAGAACTTGCTTTAGGCCAACACAGACCACAGTGGGGATCCTGACAAGAGTACACAGTCTCCTTTAGGACCTTCCTAGGTATAAGTTGATTGTGCAATTCCACTTTAATCGAACATGGCATAATTTGCAGTGTATGGAAAAAAAACCCATCGGCCAAATCTTCTCGTTTCTGATCTACACCTGGAATTTGAAATTCCTTTGTAACTAATGTATGAGTTGTAAGAGAATCAAATTGTCAAATGCCCATGCTACAGCTTTACATTCAGGACAGCACAAACACACAAAAGAAATCCAAGACAAAAGAAATGCTAAAAATATTGCATTGCAAATAATGGTAAGATGTAAAACCAAGTGCAAAAGAAGACCAGAAGATTTCATATAACATGTATTAATTTGTCCAATATTTATTGTGCATATACCAGCAACCAAGAACTATGCCAAAGGGCAGGGAAGATATCACTGTCCATAGAATCCTTTCCATAAATGCATAAATCAGGATTGTGGGAAATTGTAAGACGCAAGAATACAAAACAATTGTATTTAACATATCCAGTAACTTCAGACCTATGTCCCTTAAACTTCATATCAGGTATAGCTTACCAGGCTGCCACTAACATTTCCAGGACCCAGGAATAAGTAAAAATGGAGACCCATATATCACATGCCCCAAGGTAATGTATTTACAAATAAATTTGGTTGATTTATATTTTCATCTCATTGGCAAACCGAAATTTCATTTTATTGGCAACTTCAAATTTCATTTCATCATTTTCATTGGAAAACATATCTCCTTAATGGCCTAGAACTCCAGGTTTAAATTTAGAGTTATCAAAATCATTAAAATTCTGTGCTGGCATTAAAATTCTCCTCACAAGGAGAGTCTCAAGCTCATCTGTGTAGCAGTCGCAAGCTGCATGTCCCAGCTCAGTCCATACTCCTTCCACAACCCCATAGCATACAGCACCTGCCTGGCCACCACTTATGTCTAGGGCTGTTCACTCCAGAGGCATCATCTGTCTTCAAGAGAATCACCTGGAAAGGAGACCCTTGCAGGTGCTGAACCCTGCCTTGGGGCAGGTGTGCAGAGAATGCCAAGGCCCTGGGTGCCTGGAACATGGTATGAAAATAGGCAGATGGGGTACAGGCTCTGAGTGGACACATAACCTGGGCCCAGGGACCCCTCACCTCCATGGACAGAGCAACTGGAGGACCAGAGCCAAGTGCTCCCAGACATGGGGACCAGGGCAGAGGACCCTCTTGTCTCAGGGTAGGACTGCAGCTCACCCCAATTGTTTTGTTGTGGAAGGTTTTTTTAAATGGCGAAAATCAGAGAACAAAACCTGAAAGAAAGTTGAAATAGTGGCCTGCTGTTAAAAAAAAAAACCATTTTCAAACAAATAAAATAAATGACAAGTGTTGGTGAAGATGTGGAGAAATTCGAACCCCCTGCATGCTGATGGTGGGAATGTAGAATGATGCAGCTGCTACAGAAAATAGTATTAGGATTCCTCAAAAAAATTAACATTAGAACTACTATATAATCCAGCAATCCTTCTCTTGGGTGTTTATCCAAAAGAATAGAGATCAGTATTTCAAAGAGATATTTGCCCTCCTATGTTCACTGCAGCTTATTCACAGCAGCCAACGTATGGAAACAACTTAAAAGTCCATCAATGGATGAGTGGATACAGAAAATATTGTATATAGATACACTGGAATAGAATTCAGCCTTAAAAAATGTCCTGCCTTATGCAACAACATGGATGAAACTTGAAGGTATTATGCTGAGTGAAATAAACCAGTAACAAGTAGGACAAATACTTCATGACTCCACTTATATGAAGTATCTAAAATAGTCAAACTTAGAGAAGCAGGGAATACAATGGTGGTGCCAGGGACTAGGGGGAAGGGGAAACAGGGTTCAATGGGCAAAAAGGCTCACTTACACAAGATACATAAGTTCTAGAGATCTGTTGTACAACATTGTACAGTCAAAAATACCACATTCTGCAGTATTATGAAGTGTTCTTACCATGATAATTTTAAAAATCTGCGTGTGTATGCATAAAGCAGGGGAGATAATATGTTAAATTGCCTATTAAGTAGCAATGCATCAGTAACAAGACATAAAAAGACAAAAAGTAAGGATCAACTTGCCATGTCAATGGTTTTATGGCCCTAAATTTCACTGAGGTATCCTGGTGGGAGGTTAAGATTTCTTTTCATTTTCAGGCCAGAAAGGGACCAAAGCTCAGCTCTGCCCTTGCATGAAAATTTTATTTTAGTTTCTATTTGGTACACTTATTCAATTATCTTCAAATCTTTAGTTAATTTTTGTTAACATTTATAACTAAGATTCAACTTTGCTGTAGGAAATTAAAGGAGAACCTACGAGTGATACAACAGAGCCACAAGGTAGCAAGGTGCCCCTCCCTGATACCAGAAGACAATAATAATTATAGTCACTAGCAGAGGACAGCTGCATGAACTGCAAGATCATCAGTGGGAGAGGCAGCCTAGGGATAAACGACCAAACAAGGAGCAGAAAATCCCAAGATGCTGGTTTGAATACATGTGAGACAGGCCCACAGGGAACTTTCCTAAAGATCTGAGAGATGTAGTAATGGGCATCTTTCTGGAAACTGGAGTGGGAGCTCCATATAATTAGCATACCAAAAAACCAACCTCATCAAAGATCAGAAAAACATATAGGCTATCAAATTTTAACCTATTAGGTTGTTAAGGAGTTGAATGATAACATCCAGAATATGAAGAGAGAAGTGATTTGATATAATTACTGGTGGAAATATAAACTGAAATAATGTTTTTAAAGGGAATTGGCAGTAATATCAGAAACTAAAAATCAAAGACTTTTAATCCAAAATTCAGCTTCCTGAGGTATGTAATGATATGTAGACAAAGATGGTCAACAAAGTACTGCTTTCTGATAAGAAAAGTTAAAGAACAAAGTAAAAGTTCATAAACAAGAGAATCATCACAGAAATTAGAGAAAATCCATGCAAATTGATGTAGTTTGGCCATGTCCCCACCCAAATCTTATCTTGAGTTGCAGCTCCCATAATTCCCATGTGTGGTGGGAGGAACCCAGTGGAAGGTAATTGAATCATGGAGGCAGGTGTTTTCCATGCTGTTGTTGTGATTGTGAATAAGTCTCACAAGATCTGATGGTTTTATAAAGGGGAGTTCCCCTGCACACTCTCTCTTGCCTGCCACCATGTAAGATGTGCCTTTGCTCCTTCTTTGCCTTCAGCAATGATATTGAGGCCTCCCCAGCCATGTGGAACTTTGAGTCAGTTAAACCTCTTTCCTTTATAAATTACCCCATCTCAGGTATGTCTTTATTAGCAGCATGAGAACAGACTAATATAGTAAATGGGTACCAGCAGAGTGGTGTGCTGCTGAAAAGATACCCAAAAATGTGGAAGTGACTTTGGAACTGGGTAACAGGTAGAGGTTGGAACAATTTGGAGGGCTCTGAAGAAAACAGAAAAATGTGGGAATGTTTGGAACTTCCTAGAGACTTGGAGGGCTCAGAAGACAGAAAGATATGGGAAAGTTTGGAACTCCCTAGAGACTCATTGAATAGCTTTGACCAAAATGCTGATAGTGATATGGACAATGAACTCCAGGCTGAGGTAGTCACAGATGGAAATTAGGAACTTGTTGAGAACTGGAGCAAAGGTGACTCCTGCTGTGCTTTAGCAAAGAGACTGGTGGCTTTTTGCCCCTGTCATAGAGGTATGTGGAACTTTGAACTTGACTGAGATGCTTTGGGGTATCTGGAAGAAGAAATATCTAAGTGGCAAAGCATTCAAGAGGAAGCAGAGCATAAAAGTTTAGAAAATCTGCAGCCGACGATGTGATAGAAAAAAACCTATTTTCTGGGAAGAAATTCAAGCCAGTTGCAGTAATCTGCATAAGTAACAAGAAGCCCAATGTTAATCACCAAGACAATGGGGAAAATGTCCCCAGGGCATGTCAGAGGCATGCTTCAAGGCAGCTCCTCCCATCACACGCCTGGAGGCCTAGGAGGAAAGAATGGCTTCTTGGGCCAGGTCCAGGATCCCCCTGCTATGTGCAGCCTAGGGACTTGGTGCCCTGCATTCCAGCTGCTCCGGTCATGGATAAAAGGGCCCAAGGTACAGCTCAGGCTGTGGCTTCAGAGGGCGTGAGCCCCAAGCCTTAGCAGCTTCCACATCGTGTTGAGCATGTGGGTGCACAGAAGTCAAGAATTGAGGTTTGGGAACCCCTTCCTAAATTTCAGAGGATGTATGGCAACACCTGGATGTCCAGGCATAAGTTTGCAGCTGTGGTAGGCCCACATGGAGAATCTCTGCTAGGGCAGTGCAGAAGGAAAATGTGGGGTTGGAGGCCCTGCCAGAATCCTCACTGGGACATTGCCTAGTGCAGGCATGAGAAGACGACCACCATCCTCTAGACCCCAGAATGGTAGATCCACCAACAGCTTACACTGTGTGCCTGGAAAAGCCACAGACACTCAACGCCAGCCCATGAAAGCAGCAAGGAGGGAGGCTGTACCCTGCAAAGCCACAGGGGTAGAGCTGCCAAAGACCATGCAAACCCACCTCTTGCATCAGCATGACTTGGATGTGACACATGAAAAAAAAAGGAGATCATTTTTGAGCTTTAAGATCTGACTGCCCCACCGGATTTTGGATTTGCATGGGGCCTGTAGTCCTCTCATTTTGGCCAATTTCTCCCATTTGGAACAGGTGTATTTACCCAATGCCTGTACCCCCATTGTATCTAGGAATTAACTAACTTGCTTTTGATTTTACAGGGTCATAGGCAGAAGGGACTTGCCTTGTCTCAGATAAGACTTTGGACTGTGGACTTTTGAGTTAATGCTGAAATAAGTTAAGACTTTGGGGGACTGTTGAGAAGGCATGATTGATTTTAAAATGAGAAGACATGGCATTTGGGAGGGGCCAGAGGTGGGATGATATGGTTTGGCTGTCTCCCCACCCAAATCTTATCTTGAATGCTAGCTCCCATAATTCCCATGTGTGGTGGGAGGGACCCAGTGGGAGGTAATTGAATCATGGAAGTGGGTCATTCCTGTGCTGTTCTTATGATAGTGAATAAGTCTCATGAGATACGATGGTTTTATAAAGGGAAGTTCCCTTGCACACACTCTCTCTTGCCTGCTGCTAAGTAAGATGTGACTTTGCTTCTCATTCACCTTCTGCCATGATTGTGAGGCCTCCCTAGCCATGTGGAACTGTGAGTCCATTAAACCTCTTTCCTTTATAAGTTACTCAGTCTCGGGTACATCTTTATTGGCAATGTGAGAACAGACTAATTCACAAGTACAATACACAATTGCCATTTCAAAAAAATAGGCTAACTTTACATGTACAGGTGATCCCTAAACAATGCAGGGGTTAAGGGCCCCAACTTGTATGCAGTCCATAATCCAAGTATAACTTTTGACTCTTCCAAAACTCAACTAATAGCCTACTGTTGACCAGAAGCCTTACTAATAACAAACAGTTAACACATATTTTGTATCTTCTATGTATTATGTACTATATTTTTACAATAAAGTAAGCTGGAGTAAAGAAATGTTACTAAAAAATCATGAGGAAGAGAAAATATATTTACTATTCCTTAATTAGAAGTGAATTATCATGGTCTTCATCCTTGCCCTCTTCACACTGAGTAGGCTGTGGAGGAGGAGAAAGAAAAGGAGGAGTTGGTCATGCTGTCTCACAGGTGGCAGAGGCAGAAGAGGTGGAGGTGGAAGGAGAGGCAGGCACAATTGGTGCAACTTTTATAAAAAAAAAATCTATGTATCAGTGAAGCTACACAGTTCAAACTCATGTTGTTCAAGGCTCAATTGTATTGATTTTCATTGATGTCACTTTAGCCTGGATGGGAAAGGAGACGTGAGATGGTGTTGTATAAATGAACCAAGGGCAGCAAGAGTGAGGGAAAGAAGCTGTGAAATAGTGTTGTATAAATGAGCCAAGGACTGCCCCTGCAAATTGGCCTCTAGGTTGTTTACTTCTTCACAGAAGGCTGAGACCTATTTGTTCAAAATCCTCCTAGCACCAAACTCAAAATGTTCCATATTAACTGTTTTAGACACAGATCAAATATGCATATTTTTAGCCATTTAGAGCCTACCTCCATTGTATGCCCACAAAACTGTGCCCAACATGTGCTAACCATATATAAGATAAACTCAGGGCTATAAAGATGCCAACTACTGCTGCCCTTTGGAGTTCTCTGACCCAGACTCCCCACCAGGCTGCTGAGCAACTTCACCCACTCATCTGAACCCCCCTCTAGTCCCCTCACCCCCTGGGATTCCCTTCCAGCCTTTCCTTCTGAGTAGTGGCTGCATCCTGTAGCTCTGGAAGGTCTCCTGCTATAGAGGACTTCCTTCCTTTTCATGTGAACCCATGAAAGCATCACTTAAATAAAGTTGCATGTGTCACCTTGTGATCACACTTTATTTTATGTTAGGCCCCCAAATACCTTGGACCCTCTACAGGTAACAGAGGATGGGAAACTATGCCAGGTGAGACATTACTTCACTGGGCATTGTTTTATAACGAGTGATGGGATGACACAGCAGGTCACTTGCCATGACGGTTCGCCCAGCCGCAGGTCATGCTGCTGGGACAAGCAGGCCACAGACACCACGTCTTAGAGCAGGAAAGGAGGAAGGAGAAGTCTGTCCTCTTTGTTTCCTTCCATCCTCTGTTTCCAATTGGTGGGATCTGATCTACTGGGGAGTTAATACCCCTGCGTACACTTGTTCATTATCTGATCCCTTCTGCATACATTCAAGATACTAGAAATGACAGGAAGAGCCAGAAATTCTGGGCATGCAGAATTTGGCCCAGCTCCCTGGCAGCTCCCATGGGGAGGGTAACTGGTCAGCCCACACAGCAGAACCATGTGGGTCCAAGCAATTGTGGGCAGTGAAGTGTGGTAAGCATTTGTGGATTCAGGAAGCAAACAAGGAAATCTAAGAAGATCCAGCAAATGTATCAGGTACATTTTTATGATATACTGTTACAGCAAATTGCCAGAAAAAAACAAATTGCATAATACATATATATATAGAAAATAATCATCTTGATTTTGGTATCTATCTTTTCACTCATGCTTTTTCAAAGCACATGAAACCTGTTTACAGTGATTTTCCCTGGAAACTAGGGGTTTTCCTTTGTCACTTACTTTATTAGAGAAAGTAATGTATCTTTACCAAATTTTAAAAATGTGAAGGTGTATAAAGTAAAAAGTGACTGTGATCAGTTTTTAGGTGCTGGATATTGAGTTCTATCAAATATGGGGTATGCCTTGATTTTTTGGAAGAACTCCCCTTGACCTCCCAGAATGGTCTATTCTACTCTGAAAGACAGAAATTAAAGGACATGATAGTACAATTACTCCTTATAGCCTACTGTAGGAACAGCATTCACTGCCTATAATTTTGCAATGCCCCCCCTCAAGTAAGTCTCTGGAAAACTGTAGGGCTTCACCCCTTAAAATCAATGATGTCACAAACTCCCCTAAACTAGCACAATATTCAGTTGCAATCCCTCAGCAGCAGAATGGGCCAGGCCAGGACAATGGGCAGAAAAATCTCTCAAATAAAGCATATACAACTCATTAAGAAAGGCTAATAGGAGTTTTCTAGACAGTCAACAGGACCAAGTACAGATGTTTGAGTGGTTTATTTTTCTGTTTGGTTTCCAGAAATATAGCTGTAAAACACTCCTTAACTCAGAAATAAATCTTGTAGGAAAAAACCCTGGAGACAGAGAAAGCAATGAAAAACTCATACAGGCGCAAGCTACTGGCATCTTGGTTTCTAAAAGAGCAAAGGAATCCAGGCTCCCTGATAGGTCATGTTGATGAACGTTGGCCAGTGAAACACTGGAGACATGGACTTGGGGTGGAGCAAGGAGGACAAGAAGAATGCGTCAATCCAAAGGGAACACCTCAACCAAACTGGGATTCTGAGCAATTTCTCTGACCTGTGTGCCTTGGGGACCCAACCTACTAGGCAGCCGGTAAACTTGGCCATAAACCACATTCCTTGCTCCTTCCCCAACAATTTACACATGAAAAAACTAGGTTCAAACATATGAAGTTTTCACCCAAGACTATCCAACTGCTACATGGAAGATGAGTATGAAGGAAGACTCAACTCTGAATGCAGGTGCTATGGTCTGAATGTGTCCCCCATAAGTTCATCTGTTGGAAACTTTATCTCCAATGCAGTAGTGTTGAGAGGTGGGACTTTTAGGAAATAACTGAGTCAAGAGGTCTCTGCCATGAATGGATTAATTCATTCATGGATTAATGGATTAATGGATTAATGAGTTATCATGGTGGGGGTTACTTATCATAAGAGCTAGTCTACTATAAAATCTAGTTTGGCTGTCTCTCATGAGCACGCTAACCATGTGATGCCCTGTCCCGCCTTGGGACTCCACCAGCAAGACGGCCCTCACCAGATGCAGCCCCTCAACCTTAAACTTCCCAGCCTCCAGCAATGTAGGAAGTAATGTAAATATATTTTCTATATAAATTACCCAGTCTCAGATACTCAGTAATAACAACAGAAAATGGACTAGGACAACAGGGTTATGCTCTTGCTACTAGCAATTACTAAATAACCAACACCAGTGCAAGTAGGTGGGTGCTCAGAGGTATAGCAAATCACTCCAGACTGGAGCAGACACAATGGCTCATAGAGAAAAGGAGGTGCAACCTAGATATGAAAAGAAGTGGCTGGGTACAGTGGCTCATGCCTGTGATCCCAGCACTTTGGGAGGCCAAGGCAGGCAGATCATGAGGTCAGGAGATCAAGACCATCCTGGCAAATATGATGAAACCCCATCTCTACTAAAATACAAAAAATTAGCCAGGTGTGGTGGCACACGCTTGTCATCCCAGCTACTCAGGAGGCTGAGGCAGGAGAATCACTTTAACCCAGGAGGCGGAGGTTGTAGTGAGCCGAGATCGCATCACTGCACTCCAGTCTGGCAACAGAGCAAGACTCCGTCTCAAAAAAACAAAAAAAGAGGTGAAAGAGGGCACTGCAGATGAAGCAGTGTGCATACATTTTCTAGAAGCAAGTGTACATATGCAGGAGACACAAGGTTAGTTTAGATACACCATCATATTTGCATAGAGGAATAGCAGAGGATAAAGCTGGAAAGACACATGGGTCAGAATTTGGCAAACATAGAATGCCAGCTTGAATTTTGTATTTTGAACAAAGTTTCAATGCACATGTTAGTCATTTTTTTCTTATAGCACATTGTATGGAAAAACTCTGAGAGTAGCTGTACGGTAGATGTGCCTCTCAGGTTTTCTCGCTTTAATCACCTTTTATGCCTCTTTGATTCCATCTCAAGTCTCCAGGATCCTGGATGGCTGGCCTTCTAACATCCTCATGATCATAGAGGCTTCATTCAATGCCCTCAGATTGCGACGTGCAGTATTGTAAGCCAGTCACCAAAGTACCTACTCCAAGAGTGTCCTAAGTTTGTAGAAGTATGAGGGTCACTGCATGGGCTACCATTGTGTGAAAAAGAAATCAGAAGTCCACACTTAGTCATTGTTATGCATATCAGGGAAGAGAGGAAAGAAAGCCATTCTGACTGAGAGATGTTTAGGTATTCATCACTTAAGGCATGAATGTTTTGGAGACAGTGCTGTAAGAACATTTTCAGACAGAGTTCTGTTTTGATGTTTTCAAAGCTTTCCTTGAAGCCAGTCAAGACACAGAGCTATTTGCATATGAATGTAAAACAACAATGTGCCCTCACACTTCCTGAATACACAATTGCTGGAAAACGACCTTAACTCCCTCCCTTGTTCTCCTGCTAGTTCTCTCCTTCTGCTAAGGTCGCTTATTGTACGTGCTCTGAAGGAGGAGACGCGCGTGCTCTTTTGCCACAAGTAAAGATAATGAACAATTAAATCACAGGAAACACCCATGCCCTGAAAACTGGGCCAGAGAAAAGTTTTGATTTTTTTAAAAAAGAAAAGTTTTGGATGGGCGTGGTGGCTCATGCCTGTAATCCCAGCACTTTAGGAAGCTGAGGCAGGTGGATCACCTGAGGTCAGGAGTTCGAGACCAGCCTGACCAACATGGAGAAACCCTGTCTCTACTAAAAATACAAAATTAGCCAGGCGTGGTGGCACATGCCTGTAATTCCAGCTACTCAGGAGGCTGAGGCAAGAGAATCGCTTGAACCCGGGAGGCAGAGGTTGCGGTAAGCCAAGATCATGCCATTGTACTCCAGCCTGGGCAACAAGAGCAAAAAACTCCATCTCAAACAAAACAAAACAAAACAAAAACAGTTTTATTGAAATACAATTTATACAATTTGATGGTTTGATATACATATACATTGGGAAATGATTATTACAGTCAAGCAAATCAGCATATCCATCACCTCACATAGTTAACCGATTTTTATTTAAAGTTTTGATCTTCTGCAAACTCAGAGCCATATATCCTCAGCAGAAGGTCTGGGAAAGAGATACAAAAAACACCTTCTGTCAAAATCAAGAATTGAACTCAGAGTCAAAGACAGAGTGAAGAGTCATGTCCAGCCTTGCACTTGTGGATAGGACCAGGAACAGAAGACAAGGATAATTAACTAGAATCCGTAGTCCAGCTTGGAACATTTGAGCCTACAATGGTTTCCCACTTCCTATCAGAAAGGATGACCAAATAATTTGTTGGAGATACTTCTGCAGGCCAAAGGGCATGCTGGTGATACTAATTACCGCAGAACAAAACCTGTCCAGGACAAATCTGGACACATGTTGCCCTACTGTTTGACCATATCCAAATCACTTTTCTTGTCATTCAGGATCTGACACCAACTCACCTCACATGCTGTGTCCTCAATATGATCACTTCTCAGGCTGGTCATCTACTAGTCCTGAGAGCTACCTACACCTGGTTTTCCCAGCCTGCCAAACACATGCACACATACTCACACATACGCACGGTACACATGCAGGGGCACACATGCACACTCACACATAATGTGCACACATGCACACACAAGCATGGGTGCAAGGCACATCCTTCTGACTCCAGAGTCTTCCATTCTTCCTCTGGAGTTCTGTGTTCTCCCATCTGACCCAATCCAAATTTCCCTCACTCCTCACAGTAGATCAAGTCAATCCCACCCCCATTCCCTTTATCCATCTTCATTTGATTTCACTCAGACAGCTCTATGAGATTTCAACAAATGTTACAGAATTATAGGCCCTTGGTCTTCAACATCCAAACAAATTAATAGAGTGGAAAGAAAGCAAGCAAGGGAGAAAACCATCAGGTGCTGGTAACAGTGACTGCGTCCTGCTCTGCTGCTTGTCAAAACCATTTGGATTCTCCCGAATGCCACTATGACTCTCAGAAAACCTTCCCTTCATTGCAGCTGCATATAGCTGAGTGAGAACATACCACACAAATCACCTCCTTCCTCTCTGACCAGGTCTCCTGCTCCACTCACACCCTGGCAGTTGTGAGGTCTTTTCCACACTCCCTGCCCCCTGTTTTGCTATCAACTGAACTGGAAGTCAGGAGCTATATTGCCAGTCCCTGTGGCTGTCCAGCCACATCACCATGGACACATCTGACCCTGGGCCCACTCTCCTTCTCTGTAAAATGAGCAATGAGCACACTCGACCTACTAGGCCTCCCTCTAAAGGTTGTTAGAACAATGCAGAAGTGGTGTACTCGTAAGTGCACAGAGTCTCCCGTGCTGAGCTGCGGACTACTCCCCTACCCCTTCCTCGCCATCCTGTCCTGCCCACCTCCCTTGCTAGCTGGGTCTGGTTGACTGCTCCCTCCCAGCTTCCCCCTGCCCCAGGCAGAGAGACTGCTGCCCTCCTAACCACAGCTCCTGCCAGAGGCCCCTTCAGGGCTGCAGCCCCACCACCATTTCCTTCTTGCCCAGCAGCAAAGCCTTCTGCAGTGTGTGGCTAGCTTCAGCTCTCCCTGCTGCATCCCTAAACCTTAAAGCACAGTCCTCAGTAATCAATGCCTTTGTTGGGTTTCTGCAGCTACAACCTCTGGGTACAATTCTGTTTCCTGACAAGATCCTACCTGATGAAGCACAAAATGTAGTATGAAAGAGAAACATTGTACTGGGAGCTCCAATGATACTAATTAATATGATAAAAACAGTGCAAAGGGGACCTTTGGAAGGGGCAGCTGAATTGGAAGGGCAAGATTTCAGTGTGAACATTGCCCCAGCCCGTTTCTTGACAGCAGTCACAGTTTACACCTGTCAATCCTGCAAAATGATTAACAGTGATGCAGGATTTTTCTCAGTCACTTTGCCAGCTGGGGACCTCTGGCTGGTGATGCCCTGACTGAGGCCTAACTCAGGCACTCTACCTGCTGCAGAAGGGACCCTACCTGTTGCAGGAGGCACTCAGTCAAGTCTGGCTTGTGCACCAGCTCAGCCCACAGCTGGGCCAGGTGTGGAGCCCCAGTCCACCTGTGTTGTATCTTGTACCCACATTCAGTGGTTTCCAAGCTCTTATTCCACGTCCAAGAAGAATGAGGATATGCTGACAATTGAAGGGTGAGGAGGGCAGAGAAGAATTTTATTCAGCGATGGAACAGCTCTCAGCAGAGAGGGGACGTGGGGTGGTCCCCCACCACCACAGTCCGTTGTTTACTCTCCTGGTGTGGCTGAGATTTTATAGGCTCAGAATAGGAGAGTGCATGATGATTGGTTTGTGCGTATGCAAAGAAAGGCTGAAGCAAAGGCACCACTCAAAGGTGGGCACAGCAGTGTAGAAAACCCATTAAGAAAGGGTAGGTATATGTAAAATAGGTGAAGGGTGAGGATCAATCAGAGGAAAGCACGCCACATGGTAGGACAGGTTCTCAGTCCAGTCCATGGATTTGACTTGTAGCTTGGCTTTCAGGCTTTAAGCTGTCTTCGGCTTGGAGGTGGAGTTTCACTGGGCACCTGCCCCATCTGCCTAGGCATTTGTCTGCCTCTGCCACTATCAATGGCACCCCCATTCACTCTTGAAGTGTCCCAATTTGGATAATGTAAGTTCAATGGTGAGAAACAGAAAAGCAGCTCCTGACCTCCAGAAGACAGCCTTGTATCCTGCTGCTGAAATCAACAATGTACACAACATCAACACTAGACAAGGCTGCTCTGTGATCGTGATGGATCAAGGCAAAAACAAGACCCTCTGTAATTATGTCTGGACACAGAGCATCATTGTGAGCAAACATACCACCATCCTAGCTGATGGGAGTTCCTGTCACTTCATCAGTTAGAATGATTGGCCTCAGTCTAGTCTTCCTGTCTTCTCAGTGTGATCTATGGAGCTACCCAACTAGAGAATTAGCCCTGCTTCCTGATAATAACCAGTCCACAGCAAAGCTCCACTTCCTGGGACCATCCCCCGGCTCACCTCACACGAGGCCCAGGCTCCTGTAGTAAGTCCTTTCTAACACTCTCCAACAGAGATGCTGGTACTCCACAGTTCTCCATCATGGGCTTCTTCTTTTCGGGAGATTCAGCTCATTTAACAAAAGGTCAATTCCAACTCATTCAATTCAGATACAATCCTGGTGGCTTTTGGCTGGTGGCTCAGACCATGGTCAGCCTAGACTTGGAAAATAGAGAAGGGAGGCAGGGCTTTTAAGCCACAACGAACACTTGAAATTGGAAATAAGCAAGGCATGTCCCAAGAACTTGAAAATTGCTATGAAATTGCTTAAATTTATCACTGTTGACCTACAGATTATTTTCCTTTCCAGATCATCATCTCTCAAATGATTACAAATCAATTTTAACTTCCTACAATCCTGCTGCAATTCTTGAAAGAAAAACCACAAGTGAATTTTCATGTCCCACAGAATGCCCAGATGAGCTCTTGGCTTATTCAATCCAGAAACAGCAGCAAGCACACTTATATATGGTGATGAGTGTTAAATAATATGTGTCCCCTCACGATTACTTTCCATTTGAAAATTAGATCTAAAAGACTGCTAAAATGCTGATCGCTTCTGAGGGGTATTGAGTCCCTGTGGCTGAATCATACCATTTTCCAAAATACATAACATAATTAAGTTTTGTCAGTGAGTAGCTTAGTTGCCCACATGGGATCACTTATGACTCATCTTAAAGCCAAGAAGCTAAAGGTTTGTGTTTTTGTTTCTAGAATCATCTCGTATGTGTAGCAGTAGGTCAGCATAATGGAATAAGCTGGGCTGTTTTTTTTCAGCCCTGGGCATTGAAGTTACTAATATTTCTGTGTTTTTAACGATGGCCTGGATTCTTTAAAGGCTGTCCAGTCTACTCAATGGCCTGGCGAAAAGATCTCTTGCATGCAGAATCAGGACCAAGGTAAGTTTGCCACTGTGTTGGCGCTGATCCTCTTCCTGCTGTCGTACCTCAGAGGTAAGAGGTGACGTCCTCACCCAGCTCCTGCCATGCACCACCCCTCACCCTCCACCCCAGATATCTGCAGCACACTCTCAGAGAGGCTGTCCTGCTCTGCTTCTGTGCCACGGCACACTCCCTCCCTGTCCCTCCACACCAAAACACTTCAGTAGTCACCTGCACCTGTCTCCTTTCCTTGACATCCTACTTTCTGAATCACAGCTATGGATGGGGTCATTTGTGCTAACTGTGTTCCTCCCAGATAGCCTATTTGCATTGACTCAGATTTACTGTTCACGTATATTTGCTCAAGCCCAGAAGTGTGAATTAAACATTATAATAAGAAATTACTTATTATGTACAATGTGCCTTTTTTTGTGATGGACACCCTAAAAATTCTATTTGGCTACTATAAAATCTATGCATGTAACAAAATTGCAAATGTACCCCGTAAGTTTGTACAAATAAAAATAAACAAACAAACATTAGAATCCCAGGTACTCTCATTAAGCTTGAGGAGAAGGAGTGGAGGTGTTCATAGACAAGACTTTAAAAATAAAACAGAAATGTTAATAAAGAAATTGAGAGAAAAGAAAAATGAATGTAGGAAAAGAAAACGAAGGTAAAGCCAGAAATAGTTAGAACACAAAGGCCTTTCCTGCTGTTCTGTTGCTAGAATCCTCAGAGGACTTTCACAAACTGACTTTAACAACTTTAACAGCTAAGGCCAATGGGGGACTATGACCCATCTGGATTTCCAGTTGGAGCTATGATAGCCTCCCAGGGAATGGGGAGTGAATGAGAACACACAGCTGCCCACTAGGTCTGTATGCAGCCCACACCTACACATTTATATCAAAGGAAAGGCCCTGAGAGGCAGGGTAGCAAACTGTGGCAGTGCAGGGATGAGAGGGAGCACAGGTGCTGTCTACCTGGGACAGGCACGCAGAGGACTGCAGAAGCACACTGCATGTGTTAGTATGCTCCAGAGAAACTAAGCAAAACAAATACATGCATGAATGTGTGTGCTTGCGTGTGTGTGTCTGCGTGTGTGTGTCTGTCTTTTTGTGAATGCTTGTGTGTGTGTGGGTGTGGGTGTGTCTGTCTGTATTTTTGTGCGTGTGTGTGTGTGTAGGCACAGAGAGTGGGTAGGGGGTAAGGTATTAAAAGGTATTGGCTCACATGATTATAGAGATTGAGAAATCCCACAATCTGCCCTCTGCAGGCTGGAGACCTGGGAAGGCCAGTAGTGTCGTTCAAAGGCCTGAGAGCCTGAGAGCCAATGGTATACATCCCAGTCCAAGCCTGAAGGCCTAGGAACCAGGACTTCCCAGGGAAGAAGATTCATGCCTCAGTTCAAGCAGTCCCATAGAGGGAGAGTGAATTCAGCCTTCCTCTGGCTTTTTGCTGTATTCCAGCCTTGAACGGACAGGATAACACCCGCCCATGCTGGGGAGTGCCATGGGTTTTACTGAGTCCAGCAATTCAAATGCTCATCCCTTTTGGAAACACCCTCGCAGAAACACCCAGAAATAGTGTTTAACCAGCTACCACCTAGGCATCCTGTGGCCCAATCAAATTGACATATACAATTAACCATCACACACATCAAAAATATTTAAGGTACAATATGTCTATCAATAACCATCCCCAGGAGACTCATGGGTCTAAGAGATGGAAGAAGAGTGAAAACAATGGGTTTTAAAACCTGCTGCTCAGAAAGTCAGAACTTCTGTAATCCAATCATAGAATGTCAGAAATCATCTGAATTATCTAGTCCACACTTCCTGTTTATATAAGAAATACATAAACATACAGAATGATACCTGGGAAGGTAAAGTCAGACTTTATCCCAGGCCATCCATAGATGAGGACAGGAAGCCAGATCTCTTGATCCCAGCTCAGTACCGGTCCTCTCGAGAGCTTTATTCCATTTTCTTACTTGCTATCTTTTGGATAATAAATCAATCAAGACACTGGGAAATTACTATTAGGACAAAATCCTCCATAATTCTCTACCTTAGTCAGATGAAGCCTTATTATCCAGATGAAAATGTCTTTGCTCTCAAATGCAAACATATAATAACCAAATAAACAAAGAAATTAAGATATGCGCACTCTGATCCCTTGGTTAATCTGCCTCACCTCAGCACTGCCACGTGTGATTTTATCTAATATATGATTATATTCTCTTCAACAAACGGAAACAACGGCACAGGCACCTGAGCATGTCACATGTGCCGGTCACTGAGTTAGGGGTTGTGGGTTTTCCTATTAGACTGCAAGGACCTGGAAAGATACATTTTTAATTAATTTTCAAAACTACAGTCTACAAATACGTATTGAATGCTGCAAGGCTACAAGGCGAAAGTGTGTGATGTCACTCACGTGGTGCTGGGGGGTGTGCCTGGGGCTGCAATGCCCACCTCCGTGCAGGTAAGTGCTGTCTTTGCCCATTTCCAGAAACGCGCAGCATCTTTCTGACACGGCAACAAGCTTCCTCCCGCCAACCAAGAGAGCACCCAGATCAGAGTGAAGATCCTGTCCAAGCAAGCTAGAAGCCCGTCTCCACTCCCATTATGAGGGCAAGTTTTACCCTCTTGTCCCTTCCCAACTCTTCTGGGGATTCAGGCTATGATTCCACCTGCAAATCCAGGGAAAGCTATGGGTAGCAACCCCAGCACATCAGTTTTGGGGGATTTTGTTTTTGTTTTCCAACTCTGTTGAGCTATGATTGGCAAATAAAACTTGACTCCATTTAGAGTGAACAATGTAATGTTTTGATACACCTATACATTGTGAAACAATTCCCACAGTCTAGCTAATTACCATATTTACCCCCAACCTTGTTACCATTTTTTTTGTGTGTGATAAGAACTCTAAAGAGCTACTCTCTAAGCAAACTTCACACATACATTTATCATTAACTACAGTCACTGTGCTGCATATCAGACTCCTAGAACTTACTCATCTTATAACTGAAGGTTTGGACTCTGTGACCAACATCTCCCAGCTCTCCCCAACCCCCCAGATCCTGGTAACCATCGTTCTGTTCTGTTACTATGAGTTCGACTTTTTTTTGACTCTACCTATCAGTGAGATCACAAGGTGTTTGTCTTTCTCTGCTGGCTTATTTCACTTAGCCTAATGCCCTCCAGGTTCATCCATGTTGCAATTGGTAGTATCTCCTTTTTAAGGCTGAATAGTATTCCATTGTGTATATATACCACATTGTCTTTATCCGTTCATCTGTGGGCACACACTTCATTTGTTTCCATGTCTTAGCTATTATAAGTAATGCTTCACATGGTTGACTATTTATTGTGAGACCAGGTGAAGGTCAGGGTATCAGATCAGTACTCAGCAGTAAATGCTCTGCACACTCATAAGAGATAATTGAATTGGGGAAAGTTAAATGAAGATGTCTATTAGTGAATAAAGGGCACTTGATCATGATGAAAACACAGTATCAAATTGAGGAAAGGTCACATGATATAAAAACCATGGCAATGCTGAGATAAGACAGATTAACCAAGGGATCAGAGTGCAAGGTATCTTGATTTTTTTCATTTATTTTATGTTTATGTTTGAGAAAAAACGTGTTTTTTTGAGACAGAGTCTCACTCTGTTGTCAGATTGGAGTGCAGTAGCACAATTTCAGCTCACTGCACCCTCCACCTCCCAGGTTCAAGTGATTCTCCTGCCTAGGCTCCCAAATAGCTGGGACTATAGGTGCACGCCACTATGCCCAGCCAATTTTTGTATTTTTAGTAGAGATGGGGTTTCACCATGTTGGCCAGGTTGACCTCATGATCCGCCTGCCTCAGCCTCCCAAAATGCTGGGATTACAGGTGTGAGCCACCACACCTGGCCCAATTTTTTACTGGAGAGTGAGATAATCTGATAGAACAGTGATTGCTGAGGATTTGGCTTGAAAGAAACTAGTATAAATTCTATTTTGAGAGCTCCAAGGATCTTGATTCTTTTGTCACTTCAGGATGGAGATCCTGAGTGAATGTATTCAGCAAGCTAATGGCATAGATCAGAGTCTCCAAAGAGGAAACAGTGGAGGTGAGTCATTTTCCCAAATTACACCTGGTCTACTGCCCACAGACCCAGCCAAGGTTCTCAAAGGGAGGAGGCATCAATTCTGACTCCCAGGGGACATTTGGCAATGTCTGTAAATATTTTGTTTTTTCAATTGCATACATTTATGGGGTAGAAGTGATGTTTTGCTATATGTATGCAATGTGGAATGATTAAATCAAGCTCAAATAATATATTTATCACCTCACTTATTTTTTGTGGTGAGACATTCAAAATTTACTCTCATTAGCTTTGAAATATATAATATATAATTATTAACTAAGGGGGTAATGTCCAAAACATATAAGGAATTCAAACAACTCAACAGCAAGAAAACAAATAACCCAATTTGAAAATAGGCACAGGACCTGGACAGACATTTCTCAAAAGAAGACATATAAATGGCCAACAGTTTCGTCAAGAAAAGTTCAACATCATTAATCGTTGGGGAAATGCAAATTAAAACCACAATGAGCTATCACCTCACACCTGCTAGAATGGCTATTATCTGTAAACACTTTTGGTTGTCACAGCCTGGGAAGGGGAGCTACTGGCATCTGGTGGGTGGAAGCCAGTGATGCTGCTAAACATCGTACAATGCACAGGACAGTCCCTCACAACAAAGAATTATCTACCAAAATTGTCGGTAGTTCTCCGACTGAGAAACCTTGCTGTTGCAGAGAATCACTGTGTGTCATAAGAAATGGTGTGAAGGGTATATATTTGGCACATGAATGGGGTAAAGGGTAGAGACAGAAAAAAGAATGGAAAACTTTGCAAGAAAAGGTTAGAAATGATCCTTCTTGGACTCAAGCCATGGAGCAGTTGAGTAGTGAGGTGAATAACCTGAAAAGGTTGAAAATTAATGTGGAGTCATCCCCTCCTCAACTGCTGCTCTTTCTCCATATTCCTCAGAAGTTCCAATAAACCTTCCATAAAGGGAGAAAGTTTGGGAGTAGGAAATTTTCCTTTTTACTTCTTCTCCTTAATTCATAGTTTTCCCTACAGGTTGAAGGAATGTTGCAGTATTCTCCATCTAAAAGTAACTGAATATTGGTATTTAAAAAAGGAAGCAGTTCAAATATGATTCTGTTTGAAATGACATCTGATCTGAGTAGAGATAAAATATTGAGATAAATAGGGATGACTGTAAGTTCTATGGAAATATTTACCAAGTATCTCCTATATCCATCTTGTTACTCATAACAAAAACATGATTCAAACCAGCTTAAATAATAAAGATACTTTTATTGGTTCTGGAAATTGCAAAGTCCACAGGCATGCCTTGATCTAGTGTTTCAATGATGTTCTCAAGAACATTTCTCTACTCTGTGAGAAGCTCAGGCTGTTTAAATGGTAAGGCTAACAGTCATGGAACAGTGCGAGGACAGTATAAAAAAGAAGAATTTAACTATGTGCCAACTTGCACAGCACAGACTGAAAACGTTATGAATTCTGAAAAGAATACTCTGACTTCCAAGAGGAGAAGAGATTAAAGTTGGCCTCAAAAGATGTGTATGGTTTGCATCAAACGCAGAGGGAAATGGGGGCATGCTAAACAAGAACAAGAAGTGAATGAGATTGGAGACTTTCCTGCCTGGAGCAGAGTGAGAAACCAACCCCCACCTCCAGACTGATTTCCTCTACTGAATACCTGGCTTTACCATCCATGGTGACCATGCTTGCTTATTTATTTTGACAAGCTCATTTAAATTGAGCAAAAAGAACATCTCATTGAAATGAAAAAGATTTGGGTAGTCAATTCCTTTTATCAGTTTTCCCTTCTAGGAGAAGCATTCTACCTATCACTTTTCTTTCTCAAAACCATTAGTCAATCAGCAAGAAACAGAACCCGTGCTTTTGCTGTGCAGGCTGGTGACAAATGAGAGTGGTAATTTCCCTGAGCAGGCACTTTGGTTTGCCATTTGCCTAACCAGCAGCAGACAAACACAGTGTCTAGATAATGTCCTTAAGATTGCAATGGCCTTTTATAAGAGATAACCCAGAGTGATTAGAAACGCTATGACTGCGGACTTAAAGAATGTGGCTCAGCCATGAAGGATTGCTTCTGTATGAACCCATATACTTATTGCAGGCACAAAGCTGATAAATCCTTTCTAGTTATTCTGCTTAGTATGAAGGACAGCCAAAGTATGTCTTCTAAGTTTCTTACAGAATGCCTTTGTCCCATTCAAGAACATGTATGTGGCTCACTGGTCTTTGTTGGAATGCCGGCAGAAGGTTTTTGAGATATACAGATATAAGAGATATAAAGATAGCCACAGGCTGACTTCATTATAAAAGTCATAAGCTTTCACTTGCCGATATTCATGCAGTTCTTTAATCAAGGTCAACTGGCTCACCATTGCTGCCTATGAAGCCCATCTATAAATTCAAATAGTACAACATACAAAACATTGATCCACAGCAAGTGAGAGTAACAGCAGCAATAATGGCACCAATATTGAGAAGTTCTTTGAAATTCTCCAATGCAAACACACGAAAAAAAATATTATTAATAGCTTCTTTCTGGTTTTTTTTTGTTTGTTTGTTTGTTTTTTTTGAGATGGAGTCTTGCTCTGTCACCCAGGCTGGAGTGCAGCGGCACCATCTGGGCTCACTACAACTTCTGCCTCCTGGGTTCAAACAATTCTCATGCCTCAGCCTCCCGAATAGCTGGGATTACATAGCGTGCCACCACACCCAGCTAATTTTTGTATTTTTAGTAAAGACAGAGTTTCACCATATTGATTGACCAGGCTGGTCTCAAACTCCTGGCCTCAAGCGATTCATCCACCTCGACCTCCCAAAGTGCTGGGATTACAGGCATGGCCACCATGCCTGGCCTAACAGCTTCTCAACCCTACAATTTCAATCGTTTATAAAGATTTCACACAGAAGTCACTGGTCAGTGCCTTAGTCCATTCAGGCAGCTGTAATAAAATACCTTAGACTGGGTAATTTATAAAAACCATAAATGAATAGCTCACAGTTCTACATTTAGAACTGGAAAGTCCAAGAGCAGGGCACCAGCAGATTCAGTGTCTGGTGAGGGCTCACCCTCTGCTTCAAAGACGGTGCCTTCTAGCTGTGTCCTCACATGGCAGAAGGGGTGAATGAAATCCCTTAGGCCTCATTTATAAGGGCACATATCCCATTCATGAGGGCTACGCCTCATAAGTAATCACCTCCTGAAGCCCCACTTCTTAATAGTATTGCATTGGAGATTAGGTTCCAACATACACATTTTGTGGGGATACAAAGAGTTCCACTTTATTTGTAAAGAAAAAAGTCATAAAATATCTAACCACATTTGTTAACGCCTTGATGTTTAGTCCCTTTTTCATCAGCACTTCTTTAAAAATAGCAGTCGATATTTTATTTCATCATGTTTAATAAAACTTTATAGTTTATGGACCTCAGTAGACTTCTTAATTAAGGCTGATGTTGGTAACATTGCCAAAAGTCACAGGACCTAGGCAAGATACATAATTGCTCCCCAGTGTGGCCAGGAACCTATTCCCAGACAAGATATGATTAATCCTTATGTAGGCAAGAAATCTCGGAAGTGCAGAAATATAAAAGAAAATGTCTGAATTCCAGTTTCTCTGGAGAAAATTTTGCAGCTGCATGCTTCCTAGCTCCAGAGAGCCTAAGAGGCAGGACCAATACAACTCCCTAACAGAATGAGATAAGCATGGATATTTTTACAAGTATTGATTGATACCACCATGTGCATTTAAGATTAGAAACTACTTAGTTACGGAACCAGTGATTAAACCCCATATGAGAAGCCGATCTACAAGGTGAGCAGAGTTAAAGAAGTGGGGTTCACTTTTACTTGTGCTAACACTCAACCCTTATTAGCCAAACTGTATTATGTGAAACCTTAGTCATACAAAATG